>NC_000011.10:39302424-39453939 GCF_000001405.40 Homo sapiens
TATCTTCTTTTTTATTTATTTATTTTTAGTGAGCTATGTTTAAAACCTCATGACTTAGAGACAGACCTGTGCTTTCTGACGACTGTTAAAATTGCTAGAACCACAAGGGCACAGCTAGACAGCAGTGTTGATGTCACCTTAGCTCTTTAACAAGGAAGTGGCTTTTTTTTTTTTTTTTGCAATAGAAAGGAATAACAATGAGTGGTGGGTTTAAAGTTGCAAATTAACAGACGATTATAAAAAGCTTACTTAGCTGTGAAGGCAGAACACACTTGGGTAATAATTTGACATAAATATTTTCAGTTAAGAATCTCGGCCAGGAGCGGTGGCTCATGCCTGTAATCCCAGTACTTTGGGAGGCCGAAGTGGGTGGATCACGAGGTCAGGAGATTGAGACCATCCTGGGTAACACGGTGAAACCCCGTCTCTACTAAAAATACAAAAAATTAGCCGGGCGTGGTGGCGGGTGCCTGTAGTCCCAGCTACTCGGGAGGCTGAGGCAGGAGAATGGCTTGAACCCGGGAGGCAGAGGTTGCAATGAGCCGAGATCACGCCACTGCACTCCAGCCTGGGTGACAGAGCGAGACTCCGTCTCAAGAAAAAAAAAAAACAAATCTCCACAGAGCACTGCCGTGGTACCTATCACCCACAGTATCTTGGTGCTTGGCTGGGTTCAGTGGCTCACACCTATAATCCCAGCATTTTGGGAGGCTGAGGTGGAGGATTTCTTGAGGCTAAAGTTAAAGACCAGCCTTGACAATATAGTGAGACCTCATCTCTACAAATTATAAAAAAATTAGCTGGGTGTGGTGGCACATGCCTGTATTCTCAGCTACTCAGGATGCTAGTTATCTTCTTAAATACTCCAGTTGTGAATAATTGGCCTGCAGATATTTTAATTGTAAATGCTTCAATTTCTATAAAATGATGATTGTTTAGGTTGCTAATGCAAATTAAGCAGTTGCTTATAAAATGAAGATGAAGAGAATGACTATTTCAGAGTGTTTTATGATTTTTAGATGTGAAAAAGGAAGATGTGATAAATAGACTCACATTGTATTTGGATGTGAATTTTAAACAAAGCTAATTTTATACATAACAGTTGTTCCAGAAAGATTCTATTTACAGAGATTATGTGGTTAGCAAGAAACTCTCTCTCCTTTACAAGCTTACCCAATGAAAAGATGCAGTTACAGTCATACTTAACCAACTATTATTATCAGTAATACATACTGCGTTATATTTGTAAAATAAATAAAAACTCTTCCCTTTGAATTTTAATTTTAAGAAGGTTAAGTGGATAGTCATTACTAAGTGAGGACTGCTAGAAATCAATAAATTTGAATTTCCAAATGTGTATGTCAATTAAAACCTTAGCAAGAACAGAGAAAACCTTTGAAATGAGGTAGGATTGTTAGTAAAATTGCTTTGCTCGGTGTTCTGCTGTGTCCTATTTACTTGAGATAAGCCTTCCAGGATGCAAGTTAAGAATAGAGATGGGTTGCCTGGATGCAAAGGAGAATAAGAAAAAACAGCAACAACATCTAAAATATAAGACTGCTGATATCACAGTAAGTTTGTGTATAGCAGTGGTTTTGGAAGGAGAGAGAAGAATCTGTAAGTTAGGCTTTCTCTGAGTATTTGGAATACTCTTCAGACTTTATATTATCTTCTGGAAGGATATTGCGTAGATTAGATAGTAGCCATATCATTCTCATCCATCCCTTTGGGGGAAAAAAGTGTTCTATCATCACAGAAGTGTGATTGTGGGGAGAAGAATCTTTAACGGATGAAAGCAGATTACTTTTAGATTTTTGATTTGTCCATGAAGAACTCTAATAAGGGCACTGGTGCTGCAAAATTGAGACTGTCACATAAGTCACTTCAATACCATCCTCACTTACCCTGGGAATGGCTGTAACATTACTCAATAAATCATTTTCTGCTAAGAAGCAAAACACTTAGAAGGCTATTACAGTAGCTTCAGGTATTCAGTGGCAAGGAAAAGATCAACAAGACTATGTAAACTGTATGTATAAAAAATGATTTATACCCGAAACCCCTCCAAATTCCAAACTTTACACATTGTGAAATACAGTTAGTGTTTTTTGTTTGTTTGTTTGTTTAACTGAAAATAGGAGCATAGCTATTCACTAGAAGGTGCCAAGTCTGCAGTTTCAAAAACTCACCAAAGATAGGACACAGCATTTTTAATGTCAAGGGGGATTTAGAGGGAGATTTTTGATGAGAGAGGAGTCACCCTACTCAAGGTCTCTTTGAGGGAGATGGCCTTAGTAAATAGCAATGAAGCACCACCTCTCAACGGATATTAGGTCACTGATCTGGCATGAATCATTCAACCCAGGTTTCCAAAGTCCCTGCTACCCTGGGGTTGTAGGAATTCATGGTGAATAGGAAATGAAATAAGGGTCATGTCTGTTTCTTCCTGTAATGCCTTATAGACCTTTTTTCCAGTAGTTTTAAGAAATATTTGCTGGGAGCTATGCAAGCAAAGTAGAAACTGCTGCTGCTCATATAATTGTTTTCTTCATGAATAAAGACATTTTCTTTGCTGAGGTTGTCAATTCTATATCTTTCAAAAGCACAGTAATGACATAGAGAATAATAAAACAGTTTTTCCTGATGCAGAAAATGAAAAGAATATAACAACTAATAAAATGGGGAAACAGCAGTGTTTCATTACATTTCTTACTTTTGTATGAGTCTTTTAAGTTTTACATGTGGTATCACTTAATTCAATTAAATAACTTAGCCAAGCTGAGATACAGCCTCTAGCATTTTAACATTTACCCACCAGTCAGATTCAGAACATCAAGATTAGCCCCAGATTGTTGTCAATCTTGGGTACGTGGAGAGATTGATCATTTTTGGGTACACAAAAATCCCATGGAGTCTCTAGTAAAGCTTAGAGATTTAGGTGTATTAAAAGTGTATCGGGTCAGCTTTATACACCATTTGGCTTAACAGAGTCTAAAGATGGGGGTGGGAGGTGGGGAGAACAGACGTTTCATAATAAGAGGTGGCCAACCTCTCAGAAGTCTTGTCCTTCTTTCAATTTATCCTAGATTTAAAGAGTGTAAGTCATGCTACATGAGTTCATTGGTTTCATCTCTGAAACCTTAGCATGAAAATCTTTTAATAAATATTTATCTAGCACATTTGAGCAATTACAGTTAACAACCAGGGAAAAGAAAATTTGCCAAAAAATAGAAAATTAGATTGGATAACTTATAACAAATTATAATTTGACTGTTCCTAATATAGGAATTTCTAATTGAATGATGGCATCCTTTTCATTTACACTCCACCAAATTCCTTTAACTCATGAGTCAGTGGTCTAGCACCTCCATATTTCACTTTCCACATGGGATGCAATAACCTCAATAAAATGAGCATTTTTTTAGTCTACTAAAATAAAGTCAAGTTTAGATAAATGAAGTAAAGATACCAAATCCTAATATATCCCCAAAGAGGGATTATATTAGTTCTAGTATTTAAAAAGCAGTTTAGTGGGGTTCTGAATTCAACTCATGTCTCAGATTCAACTAATGTCTAAATTCAGTTGGTGACTCAGATTTAACAAGTTAATATATTTAATTGTCAAACGATTGTGGATCTTTTATAAGAGACATGAGAATATTGTCATGGTGATGGTTATTTTATAGAACAACGAAAGCTGGGAAAATAGGAATTTTGGCTACTTTCCCACAATACTCCAAAATAGGATGAAAAAGCCGTAGGAGGTTTCACTTCTTTAACAACTACAGGATTTCCCTTTAAAGGATTTTCACCTTCAAAAATAGAACTAAATGCCTAATCTCTGAATATAAATAGGACGCAGCTTGATATCACAAGTTAATTCTAATTTTACACAAAAACATAGTGGGATATAATATAAAACAGATGAGGTTAGGAATGAAGGGCTGATAAAACTATAAATATAATATTTATATCATAAAATTAGTGAGAATTGATTATAAGTGGACTATCCTAAATAGCTTTCAAGGATCTTGATCATAAGTGATGTAATCTCCTGGTTGTGTAGGGATATGCTCTTTAGCTAGAAGTGAGTGATCAGAACATCTACTAGAGTATTCTCTGCATTAACACCTCTCATGGTTCCCATTCTTCTCTGGAACGCAATTGCATCTTCTGAAAAATGGCAGAAAACAATTTGCTTCATGGAAACAGGCATGGCCAGGTTGTTTGACTCCTTTAAAAATATAGAGTGAGGGATTCCATCATCCTACAATAAAAAACGTAAGATAGGTCCTGTCATGCATAAATCCAGCTGGCAGAAGTTTACTTTCTAGTTTGCCTGCGTGGATTGATTTTGCACAAAGTTTGCTATAATTCCAAGTGGTAATAGCTACTCTGGAGGTGAAGAGGAAGAGAAGTCCAAGATTAGTTCCTGGAAGAAAAAAAGACTGAAGAGATAATAGGCCTCTGAACACCACACAAATCAACAGAATGGAAAAGGGCCCAAGGGGAGTTACCTCCATGCAATTGTTTGCAGAGTGATTATCAAGCCCTGGCATCTGGAGCTTAGAATGATTACTGAATTTCTTAGAATTCAACACAGAGCTGAACTGAAATTTGCAGGTTGATTTACTGAGGAAGCTCCCTGAAATCCTTACCAACTTAAGTTGTGGGAACTTCAGACAAAGCTCCTTGTCCCTTCTCTTACCTCCTTATTTAGAGTTTTCTTTCAGTTCCTCACTTTTCAATGCAGTATGTAGATGCCTCAACGTCCTGGAAAAATTACTTCTTTTTTTAATTATTATACTTTAAGTTCTGACATACATATGCAGAACGTGCATGTTTGTTATGTAGGTATAGATGTGCCATAGTGGTTTGCTGCACTCATCAACCAGTCATCTACATTAGGTATTTCTCCTAAGGCTATCTCTCCTCTTGTCCCCTACCCCCCAACAGGACCCAGTGTGTGATGTTTCTCTCCCTGTGTCCATGTATTCTCATTGTTCAACTCCCACTTATGAGTGAGAACATGCAGTGTTTGGTTTTTCTGTTCCTGTGTTAGTTTGCTGAGAATGATGGTTTCTAGCTTCATCCATGTCCCTGCAAAAGACATGAACTCATCCTTTTCTATGGCTGCATAGTATTCCAGGGTGCATATGTGCCACATTTTCTTTATCCAGTCTATCATTGCTGGGCATTTGGGTTGGTTCCAAGTCTTTGCTATGGGAAACAGTGTTGCAATAAACATATGTGCATGTGTCTTTATATTAGAATGATTTATAATCTTTGGGTATATACCCAGTAATGAGATCCATGGGTCAAATGGTATTTCTGGTTCCAGATCCTTGAGGAACCACCACACTGTCTCCCACAATGGTTGAATTAACTTACACTCCCACCAGTGGTGTGAAAGCATTCCTATTTCTCCACATCCTCTCCAGCATCTGTTGTTTCCCGACTTTTTAATGATTGCCATTCTAACTGGTGTGAGATGGGATCTCATTGTGTTTTTGCTTTGCATTTCTCTAATGACCAGTAATGATGTGCTTTTTTTTCATATGTTTGTTGGCTGCATAAATGTCTTCTTTTGAGAAGTGTCTGAACAGACACTTTTTGATGGGGTTGTTTGTTTTTTTCTTGTAAATTTGTCTAAGTTCCTTATAGATTCTGGATATTAGCCCTTTGTCAGATGGATAGATTGCAAAAATTTTTTCCCATTCTGTAGGTTGCCTGTTCACTCCGATGATAGTTTCTTTTACTGTGCAGAAGCTTTTAAGTTTAATTAGATCCCATTTGTCAATTTTGGCTTTTGTTGCCATTGCTTTTGGTGTTTTAGTCATGAAGTTTTTGCCCATGCCTATGTCCTGAATGGTATTGCCTAGGTTTTCTTCTAGGGTTTTTATGGTTTTAGGTCTTACGTTTAAGTCTTTAATCCATCTTCAGTTAATTTTTGCATAAGGCGTAAGGAAGGGGTCCAGTTTCAGCTTTCTGCATATGGCTAGCCAGTTTTCCCACACCATTTATTAAATAGGGAATCCTTTCCCCATTGCTTGTTTTTGTCAGGTTTGTCAAGGATCAGTTGGTTGTAGGATGATGGTTGGTGTTATTTCTGAGGCCTCTGTTCTGTTCCATTGGGTTATATCTTTGTTTTGGTACCAGTACCATGCTGTTTTGGTTACTGTAGCCTCGTAGTATAGTTTGAAGTCAGGTAGTGTGATGCCTCCAGCTTTAATCTTTTTGCTTAGGACTGTCTTGGCTATATGTGCTCTTTTTTTTTTTTCAGTTTTTTGGGTTTTTTATTTCTATTTCTTATTTTTATTTTTTCCTTTTTTTTAATTATACTTTAAGTTCTAGGGTACATGTGCACAACATGCAGGTTTGTTACATATGTGTACATGTGCCATGTTGGTGTGCTGTACCCATTAACTCATCATTTACATTAGGTATATCTCCTAATGCTTTCCCTCCCCCCTTCTCCTACCCCACAACAGGCCCCGGTTTGTGATGTTCCCCTTCCTGTGCCCAAGTGTTGTCATTGTTCAATTCCCACCTATGAGTCCAATAGCAAAGACTCGGAACCAACCCAAATGTCCATCAATGATAGACTGGATTAAGAAAATGTGACACATATACACCATGGAATACTATGCAGCCATAAAAAAGGATGAGTTCATGTCCTTTGTAGGGACACGGATGAAGCTGGAAACCATCATTCTCAGCAAACTATCACAAGAATATGTGCTCTTTTTAGGTTTCATATGAAATTTAAAGTAATTTAGTTCTAATTCTATAAAGAAAGTCAATAGCAGCTTGATGGGCATAGCATTGAATCTCTAAATTACTTTGGGCCATATGGTCATTTTCACAATATTGATTCTTCCTATCCATGAGAATGGAATGTTTTCCTATTTGTTTGTGTTTTCTCTTATTTCCTTGAGCAGTGGTTTGTAATTCTCTTTGAAGAGGTCCTTCACATCCCTTGTTAGTTGTATTCCTAAGTATTTTATTTTCTTTATAGCAATTGTGAATGAGAGTTCACTCATGATTTGGCTCTCTGTTTGTCTATTATTGGTGTAGAGGAATACTCATGATTTTTGCGCATTGATTTTGTATCCTGAGACTTTGCTGAAGTTGCTTATCAGGTTATAAGAAGATTTTGGGCTGAGGCAATGGGATTTTCTAAATATGCCATGATGTCATCTGCAAACAGAGACAATTTGACTTCCTCTCTTCCTATTTGAATACTTTTATTTCTTTCCCTTGCCTGATTGCCATGGCCAGAACTTCCAATACTATGTTGAATAGGAGTGGTGAGAGAGAGCATCCTTGTCATGTGCCAGTTTTCAAAGGGAATGCATCCACCTTTTGCCCTTTCATTATGACATTGGCTACGGGTTTGTCATAAATAGCTCTTATTATTTTGAGATATGTTCCATTAATACCTAGTTTATTGAGAGTTTATAGCATGAAGCGGTGTTGAATTTTATCAAAGGCCTTTTATGCATCTATTGAGATAATCATTTGGCTTTTGTCAATGGTTCTGTTTATGTGATGGATTATGTTTATTGATTTGCATATGTTGAATCAGCCTTGCATCTCAGGGATGAAACCAACTTGATCGTGGTGGATAAGCTTTTTGATGTGCTGCTGGATTTGATTTGCCAGTATTTTATTGAGGATTTTTGCATAGATGTTCATCAGGGATGTTGGCCTGAAGTTTTCTTTTTTCTTTTTTTTCTTTCTTTTTTTTTTTTTGAGACAGAGTCTCACTCTGTTGCCCGGGCTGGAGTGCAGTGGTGTGATCTTGGCTCACTGCAAGCTCTGCCTCCCAGGTTCACACCATTCTCCTGCCTCAGCCTCCCAAGTAGCTGGGACTACAGGCGCCCACCACCATGCCTGGTTTTTTTTTTTTTTTTTGTATTTTTAGTAGAGACGGGGTTTCACTGTGTTAGTCAGCATGGTCTTGATCTCCTGACCTTGTGATCTGCCCGCCTTGGCCTACCAAAGTGCTGGGATTACAGGCATGAGCTACCACGCCCAGTTAAAGTTTTCTTTTTTTTTTGTTGTGTCTCTGCCAGATTTTGGTATCAGGATGATGCTGGCCTCATAAAGTGAGTTAGGGAGGAGTCATTTTTTTCTACTGTTTGGAATAGTTTCAGAAGGAGTTGTAACAGCTCCTCTTTGTACCTCCTGCAGAATTTGGCTGTGAATCCATCTGATCTTGGGCATTTTTTGGTTGGTAGTCTATTAATTACTGCCTCAATTTCAGAACTTGTTATTGTTCTATTCAGGGATTTGCCTTCTCCCTGGTTTAGTCTTGGGAGGGTGTGTGTGTCCAGGAATTTATCCATTTCTTCCAGATTTTCCAGTTTATTTGTGTAGTGGTGTTCATAGTATTCTCTGATGGTAGTTTGTATTTTTGTGGGATTGGCGGAGATATCCTCTTTATCATTTTTTATTGTGTCTACTTGAATCTTCTCTCTTTTCTTCTTTATTAGTCTGGCTAGCAGTATAGCTATTTTGTTAATCTTTCCAAAAAACCAGTTCATGGATTCATTGATTTTTTTTTGAAGAGTTTTTCATGTCTCTGTCTCCTTCAGTTCTGCTCTGGTCTTAGTTATTTCTTGCCTTCTGCTAGCTTTTGAATGTGTTTGCTCTTGCTTCTCTAGTTCTTTTAATTGTGATGTTGGGGTGCCTATTTTAGATCTTTCTCGCTTTCTCCTGTGGGCATTCGGTTCTCTAAATATCTCTACAGACCATCAAAACTATGAAGAAACTGCATCAACTAATGGACAAAATAACCAGCTAGCATCATAATGACAGGATCAAATTCACACATAACAATATTAACCTTAAATGTAAACAGGCTAAAGGCCTCAATTAAAAGACACAGACTGGCAAATTGGATAAAGAGTCAAGACCCATCTGTGTGCTATATTCAGGATACCCATCTCACATGCAGAGATACACATAGCCTCAAAAAAGGGGATAGAGGAATATTTACCAAGAAAATGGAAAGCAAAAAAAAAAAAAAAAAAAAAAAAAGCAAGGGTTATAATTCCAGTCCCTGATAAAACAGACTCTAAAACAACAAAGATCAAAAAAGGCAAAGAAGGGCATTACATAATGCTAAAGAGATCAATGCAACAAGAAGAGCTAACTATCCTAAATATATATGCACCCAATACAAGAGCACCCAGATTCATAAAGCAAGTTCTTTTGAGAGGTGACAGCATGCTGGCAGTCCTCAGAGCCCTCGCTTGCTCTCGGCACCTCCGCTGCCTGGGCTCCCACTTTGGTGGCATTTGAGGAGCCCTTCAGCCCCCCCACTGCACTGTGGGAGCCCCTTTCTGGGCTGGCCAAGGCTGGAGCCCACTTCCTCAGCTTGCAGGGAGGTGTGGAGGGAGAGACACGAGCAGGAACCGGGGCTGCGTGCGGCGCTTGCGGGCCAGCTGGAGTTCCGGGTGGGCGTGGGCTTGGTGGGCCCCGCACTCGGAGCAGCCAGCCAGCCCTGCTGGCCCCGGACAATGGGGGACTTAGCACCCGGTCCAGTGGCTGCGGAGGGTGTACTGAGTCCCCCAGCAGTGCTGGCCCACTGGCGGGCGCTGCACTCGATTTCTCGCCGGGCCTTGGCTGCCTTCCCACGGGGCAGGGCTCGGACCTGCAGCCTGCCATGCCTGAGCCTCCCACCCACTCCATGGGCTCCTTTCCAGCCTGAGCCTCCCTGACGAGCGCCACCCCCTGCCCCATGGCGCCCAGTCCCATCGACCACCCAAGGGCTAAGGAATGCGAGTGCACTGCGCAGGACTGGCAGGCAGCTCCACCTGCAGCCCCGGTGCGGGATCCACTAGGTGAAGCCAGGTGGGCTCCTGAGTCTGGTGGGGACGTGGAGAGTCTTTATATCTAGCTCAGGGATTGTAAATACACCAATCAGCACCCTGTGTTTAGCTCAAGGTTTGTGAGTGCACCAATCGACACTCCATATCTAGCTGCTCTGGTGAGGACGTGGAGAACCTTTATGTCTAGCTCAATGATTGTAAATACACCAATCGGCACTGTGTATCTAGCTCAATGTTTGTAAACACACCAATCAGCACCCTGTGCTTAGCTCAAGGTTTGTGAGTGCACCAATCGACACTGTATCTAGCTGCTCTGGTGAGGACGTGGATAACCTTTATGTCTAGCTCAAGGATTGTAAATACACCAATCGGCACTCTGTATCTAGCTCAAGGTTTGTAAACACACCAATCAGCACCCTGTGTTTAGCTCAAGGTTTGTGAATGCACCAATCGACACTCTGTATCTAGCTGCTCTGGTGGGGCCTTGGAGAACCTGTGTGTGGAAACTCTGTATCTAACTAATGTGATGGGGACGTGGAGAACCTTTGTATCTAGCTCAGGGATTGTAAATGCACCAATCAGCGCCCTGACAAAACAGGCCACTCGGCTCTACCAATCAGCAGGGTGTGGGTGGGGCCAGATAAGAGAATAAAAGCAGGCTGCCCGAGCCAGCATTGGCAACCTGCTCGGGTCCCCTTCCACACTGTGGAAGCTTTGTTCTTTTGCTCTTTGCAATAAATCTTGCTACTGCTCACTCTTTGGGTCCACGCTGCTTTTATGAGCTGTAACACTCACCGCAAAGATCTGCAGCTTCACTCCTGAGCCCAGCGAGACCACGAGCCCACCAGGAGGAACGAACAACTCCAGACGCGCTGCCTTAAGAGCTGTCACACTCACCGCGAAGGTCGGCAGCTTCACTCCTGAGCCAGCGAGACCACGAACCCACCAGAAGGAAGAAACTCCGAACACATCTGAACATCAGAAGGGACAGACTCCAGACGCGCCACCTTAAGAGCTGTAACACTCACCGCGAGGGTCCGCAGCTTCATTCTTGAAGTCAGTGAGACCAAGAACCCACCAATTCCGGACACACTTTGAGACCTACAAAGAGATTTAGACTCCCATCCAATAATAGTGGGAGACTTTAACACCCACTGTCAATATTAGACAGATCAATGAGACAGAAAATTAACAAGGATATTCAGGACTTGAACTCAGCTCTGAACCAAGTGGACCTAATAGACATCCACAGAACTCTCCACTACAAATCAACAGAATATACATTCTTCTTAGCATCACATCACACTGATTCTAAAGTTGACCACATAATTGAAAATAAGACACTTCCCAGCAAATGCCAAAAAGAAATGGAAATCATAACAAAGAGTCTCTCAGATCACAGTACAATCAAATTAGAACTCAGGATTAAGAAACTCACTCAAAACCACATAACTACATTGAAACTGAACTGATCCTGAATGACTACTGGGTAAACAACAAAATTAAGGCAGAAATAAATAAGGTCTTTGAAGCCAATGAGAACAAAGACACAATGTACCAGAATCTCTGGGACACAGCTAAAGCAGTGTTTAGAGGGAGAAATTACTCCTTGAATAGTTTAAGATCTCTTTGTGGTTCCTAGAGATAGTAGAAGATTTTTGTTTGTTTGTTTTTTGAGACAGAGTCTTGCTCTGTCACCCAGGCTAGAGTGCAGTGGCACCATCTCGGCTCACTACAACCTTCACCTCCTGGGTTCAAGTGATTCTCCTGTCTCAGTCTCCCTAGTAGTGAGGATTACAGGCATATGCCACAACGCCAGGCTAATTTTTGTATTTTTAGTAGAGAGGTGGTTTCACCGTGTTGGCCAGGCTGGTCTTGAACTCCTGACCTCAGGTGATCCACCTACCTTAACCTCCCAAAGTGCTGGGATTTCAGGCATGAGCCACTCCACCCAGCTGGAAAAACTTTGGAAGAAGACATAATTTCAGATCCAGAGGACTATTTTTGAAGACCACCAGTCACGATTAATCCTGGGAGTTCTCTTTGGATTGCCTCATAAGGAGGTAGTTGGGAAATATGGCTTTCTCTCTTCCAGCAGGAGAGTCTAAAACTTCCCACATTACTTAAGACTTTCCTTTTTCTTCAATAAGAGGAGGCACATTCAAACTCAATGTGCCATTTGTTCAGGGACCTTCAAGTTCTCCAGATGCTACACCTCTGGTTTCTGTATTCAATCCTATAAACCTCTGGAAGCAAATATCAGGTTGCCTGGCGACTGGACTCAAACTGTGTCTGTGACTCCCAAACTCTTGCATGATGTGTCTCACTCTTAGTCTACAAAAAGCAGAGAAAGTGAGAGGTAGAGCAACATCTTCTACTGGGGTCCATCTCGATGATAGATTCAGCAAGCCTAAGCATGCCTTTTCATGGGATGCCAAGAAAAGAGGAACCCCTATATCCTTTTAGGACTTTCTGACTCTGAGCCCAGAGTATACTAAGTAATGGCCTGAGTATCAAATTTAAAAAGATACTAGTTCAAATTCTGAGAGTCTGCCTTAGTTTCTTTTAAAAGGATTCATAAAACAGAAGGATAAAAGGATTATAATTCAAATGCCAAACCACACAAAACTATTCAAAATTAGGAGGCCTATTTGACCCAATAATTCCTCTTCTGAAATTGACCTTATTAGGAAGAAATAGATTTATGTAAGAGAAAAAGTGGGAGGCTGACTACAATTTTCACAAAATACAAACTGGAAAAAGATCACTTTTTAAAAATAAAAATGAATTAGAAATATCTAATTTATATCATTATTTTGGCTTCAGCCATATAACAAACACCTCTGATTACTGAAGATAAAGGGCTGGGTAATTATGATAATAGAAGAAAGAATATCTGGCCCGGCGCAGTGGCTCACGCCTGTAATCCCACCACTTTGGGAGGCCGAGGCGGGTGGATCACGAGGTCAGGAGATTGAGACCATCCTGGCTAACATGGTGAAACCCCGTCTCTACTAAAAATACAAAAAATTAGCCGGGCGTGGTGGCGGGCACCTGTAGTCCCATCTACTCGGGAGGCTGAGGCAGGAGAATGGCTTGAAGCTGGGAGGCAGAGCTTGCAGTGAGCTGAGATCGCGCCACTGCACTCCAGCCTGGGTGACAGAGCAAGACTCTGTCTCAAAAAAAAAAAAAAAAAAGAATAGCTGATATATATGTATATATATGTGTGTGTGTGTGTGTGTGTGTATGCATATGTTTATATTTATATGTGTGTATATATGTAAATACATATGTATAACATTATATTAATGAAAAGCAAAATACAAATTTTTGTACTTACTACTAAGTATTTTATGAAATATATATTTAATGAAAGTGTAAAAACAGTGTAAATACTCCAAAGTGTTAACAATGGCATTTCTGAAATTGTCATATATAACTCTTTTTTATTTTTATTTTCTTAAAAAGACATAGTCTTGCTCTGTCACTTAGGCTGGAGTACAGTCGTGATCATAGCTCACTGCAACCACAAACTCCTGGGCTCAAGTAATCTCCCACCTCAGCCTCATGAGTAAATAGGACTACAGAAGTGGGCCACATGTTTGGCTAATTTTTAGATATTTTTTACAGATGGGATCTCACTGTGTTGCCCAAGCTGGTCTCGAACTCCTGGCCTCATGCAATATTCCAGCCTTGACTTCCCAATGTGCAGAGATTATATGCGTGAGCCACTGTGACGGGCCTACTATGTATAATGATTAATTCTGCTTTTTTGTTGTTTTCCAAATTTCTGGTAACATTATTTCCTTTCTAACTAAAAATTTAATTGAAAAATGTTTTAAATAGAAAAACTTATGTTTTGTTGTATTTATTTATTTACCTCCACCTCTGGGTGGCTCATTTGAGTATGATATTGACAGAATAGCCTAATAGCTGAGCGTATTTTCTTTTTACCTTGCAGCCTACATTCAGATTCCATCTCTGCTTGATATTAGCCACGTAACCTTGTGAAAATTAAGTTGGTTTCACAGTGCCTTCATATACTCATTTGTGAAAGAGAAAAAGGTATCTACATATTAAACATGTAGCCTTGGAAAAGTTAATTGACCACAGACTTTTCAACTGAAAATAATGCAAATAAAAGTATCTAAATTGTTGAGTTCTAGAAAACGATTGAGTTAATATGAATCAAGCAATTAGCTTCTGGCACATAGTAAACTCTCAGTTTTTATTTTGAGACAGGCAGGTTGTTCAGGCTGTTATTCAGTGACACAAACACGGTTCACTGCAGCCTCCACCTCTAGGACTCAAGCCATCCATGCACCTCAGCCTCCTGAGTAGCTGGGACTACAAACTCACACCACCACACTCAGCTAATTTTTGCACTTTTTTGTAGAGATGGGGTCTCACCATGTTGCCCAGGCTGGTCTTGAACTGATAAGTTCAAGTAACCCTCCTGCCTTGGCCTCCCAAAGTGCTGCGATTGCAGGCATGAGCCACCACACCTAGAACCCCAATACATGTTAACTCTCGCTTTTGCTGTCAAATTTTAGACTATATATTAACCTATGTCATGTGTAATATTTAGATACAAATAACATCATCACACAAGAATATTTAGATAATGCTAATAATTCAAATGATTTTATGCTAAAATTTGGTACTATAACTTTCTTCTTCAGGTTTAATTGCCAGAAGTGAGTTTTTACACCAAGTTTTCACCTACAGTGCTATGCCACAGTGTAGCACCAAAAAGGGTTACTATGATTTCAAAGTATATTTTCTTGCCTGTTCATGATAGTATCTAAAATCAGGAAAAAATATTTTCTGAATACTTACAGAAATAAAAAATATTCTATAACATTGATAGGAGCAATCTACTTTCATACAAAAATGAGTCTTGAACATATACAACCTTGTATTAGTCCATTTTCACACTACTTTAAAGAACTACCTGAGACTGGGTCATTTATAAAGACTAGAGGTTTAATTGACTCATAGTTTTGCATGGCTGGGAGTCCTCAGGAAACTTACAATCATGGCAGAAGGTGAAGGGGAAGCAAGGTATGTCTTACGTGGTGGCAGGAGAGAGAGGGAAAGAGGGAGGGAGGGAGAGAGCGGGATAGAGAGAGAGGAAACACCACACTTTTAAACCATCATATCTTGTTAGAACTCACAAGAACAACATAGGGAAAACTGCCCCCATGATCCAGTAACCTCCCACCAGGTCCCTCCCTCAACGTGTGGAGATTGTAATTCGAGATGAGATTTGGGTGGAGACACAGAGCCAAATCATATCAAACCTCATTAAATATTTGTAGAATGAATGGAAGCAAGATTTCTTATTCGCTCTTCACACCAACGTTGCAAGATAAATATTTCACATTAATGTAATGGGGAAAATGAAAGGGTAGCATGATTTCAAAAATTCCAACTGCACCTTTGCAGACTCCCTGTGTGACTCTCACTTCGAAGCTTCCTGCCCTGCTCTAGCCATGTTGTGGGCACATGATCTAGAAAAATCAATCAATTTCTCCTCTGGGAATTTTAATTTTAAGAGAAGTTAATATCCAGAAAGAGGTGTATGGAATCCAACAATAATAGTGACTTCAATCCACTATCAATGTGGAGAGTAGCTGTTGCTACCTATGCACACCTGGATATAATTCAAGGACAAAAGGACATTCACACTGTACTTTACTTATTCTATCTTCTTGAACAGATAATCTGCAAGTCTTGATCACTATGATTGAAGTTATCCAGTCTATTATTTCTTTCTGTGTAACATGGAGAATACTTCTATAATAGAATTTTAATGCTATGGGTGGGAAGAGAGTATTCCTGAGTCTTCCTAGAGACTCAGACATTGTCAATCCATATTGCCTGCACATGACTTCAATGTGCAGGTAAAGTTTCTGTAGCAGGATCCTTTTGAACTCTCAATAAACTATGAACAGAATGAATTTTATGAGATCAGGCATCCCCTGTGCTTGGCCAAACTTCAAATTAAGACCAAGGTCATTAATTCAAAATGTAATATTGGTTTCTTATTCTTTTCTTTAAAATAACTTTTATAAAACTAAGCTGTTCTTGTAAAAATCTGAACGTAAAGAACTTTTAAAAGAATTTCAGAAGTGTGTTTTCATCACATCATGCGAATGTATTTATCAGAATATGAATGCTAAAACATGCCCCTTTCTCAAAAATCATCAATCCATAAAAAGGTTAAAGAAGAGGGCTTCGTATTCATTTGTCTGTCCTCATTCAATGTGTCTACTTCAATCACCTGATTTTTCTTTTCTTTGATTCTCATCTGCTCCTCTTTCTCCATATTCCCACCTCACTTCTTTATGTAGCGTGAATATATTGTTCTCTTGTTTTACTCTCAACTGTCTCTGCTCTTCCTCTCTTGTGTGATTACTAAGCTGCACAAACAGGACTGAAATATAGTAAAAATGACTTAATAAGGATTTCTTATTCAGGAGAATTTGTCTTTAGTGGTGTTTGATGATTTCTCCTGAGAAAAAAAGGCATACACAGTCTTACCCTAATCATCTCTGAACAAAACATTTCAAATTGGCCAAGCAGCTGCAAAATGAGAGCTGGAAACAGACATGAACAAAAAGATTTCCTGCAGTGGTAAACACTATGATGCTTTTATATTGATAACACTCTGGGGGCAATTCCTGCATTTCTAGCAAAGGCCATTTAAAGTGCAGGTTAACAATAAAAACCGAGCCCTTTTAAGACAGCATGCATGAATAACATGTTGGTTTGCATTCATCAATTTCTTTTAAGATTTTTCTATTTTTATAAACAGAAATAATATAGCTTGTGTCATTTGAAATTCCTATGCAATATAATAAACTGTCTTAAAAATAGAGTATTGTGGCTGGGTGCGGTGGCTCACACCTGTAATCCCAGCACTTTGGGAGGCTGAGGTGGGTGGATCACAGGGTCAGTAGTTCGAGACCAGCCTGGCCAATATGGTGAAACTCCTTCTCTACTAAAAATACAAAAATTAGCGGGGCATGGTGGCGGGCGCCTGTAGTTCTAGCTACTTGGGAGGGTGAGGCAGGAGAATTGCTTGAACTTGGGAGCTGGAGGTTGCAGTGAGTCGAGGTCACGCCAATGCATTGCAGCCTGGTGACAGAGAGAAATTCTGTCTCAAAAAAAAAAAAAATTGGAATTGGATTTGCCAGGGAATAAAATTTATGTTACAAGACGTTCTACCTGATGTATCAGAGAGAACAAAATACCCTAAAAACACTTCATGAAATGTTTACCCACTATTATTCCAATGAGAAGTAAAAGAATATATAACTCTCTCAGGATCTGGCCAGATAACCTTAAATGATTCACTATTCTATGCAAAAAAAATGCCTCTAAATTTAAAATTTCAAATGAATTTTCATTCTATTATTTAGCAGAATTCACATTTAATATTTTAAAACTATGTATTAAATAACTTAGTTTATTTTTTTCTCTAATCTTTGAGGAAAAAAATAATTATCCCCAAAAGTACCATTGTATGCCATTTGGTTGCATGCATTCTCCTGGAATGCTAAATAATTACCCAGTTTAAGAAGCACAGGCCAAAGATGTCTTCTCAAGCAATTGAAGGTAAAAACCATATTGTTATTTTGGAGAGGATACAGTGGATCCTCCATATACTAGATTACTGAATGTGTCTTAAAAGATGCTCATTCATTTGGTCAGTCAAACATTATTTACAAAGTGCTTGTTATGGGTTGCATTCTGTGGAAGAGGCTGGTAAGACAATCAATGAAGGGGACTTCCTTACTATACAGACTCAGGAAGAATGGAATATCCTGTGTTGAGGAAGGAACTGCTCTGTTTGTTTGTTTGTTTGTTTCTTTGTTTTTTGAGACGGAGTCTCACTCTGTTGCCCAGGCTGGAGTGCAATGGTGTTATCTCAGCTCACTGCAACCTCCACCGCTGAGTTCAAGCAATTCTCCTGCCTCAGCCTCCTGAGTAGCTGGGATTACAGGCACCCACCACTGCACCTGGCAAATTTTTGCATTTTTAGTAGAGATGGGTTTTTACCATGTTGGCCAGGCTGGTCTTGAACTCCTGACTTCAGGTGACCCACCCTTGTTGGTCTCCCAAAGTGCTGGGATTACAGGCGTGAGCCAACGCACCTGGCCAGAACTGGTCTGTTTTGAGATTCATCTGTTTCCTCAAAGTTGCAATTTGGTTATTTGGCATTTGGAATGAGTGACTCCATTTTAGTTCGGTCTGGTCTGTTGGGCGTAAGGCAGAAGCTCAGTCCGAAACAATGGACTTTTATAATTTTTGTTTAACAGTGGTAAAATCTGAAAGGAAAGAACCAAGTGTGCAAACCAGTGAATCCTAATCATATTTCTTATGGGTGAAAAAGGTAGTTAAAAAGCTAGAGATACTTTTTAAGTAGCTGATTATTGGATCTCCTTTGCCTCTGGGTTTAGAAGGTAGCCAGAGCTGGTCTTAGCTATGACTGCTTTTCTTGGTTTCTATACGCAAAGCTAGGCTTTCAATGACTGTCATTTCATAGGTGCCACACTTTCTGGAGGGGTGCATCTTAAGATAACAGTTCTGTACACTTTCACAATAGTCTCACAGATTTTAGACATTAATTTTATTAGCATAGGTTTTATCAGAGAGTTCATATTTCAGAATCTCCTTATACTTGGTTTTGGTATGTACAGATCCTTATGCATGCTTTTCCAAGAAATCCTTATGCATGTTTTTCCTTATGCATGTATTTCTTAAAAAGAAATAGTGAATTTGCACCATCTACATGAAATAATTCTTTTTTAATTATACTAGCAAAGAGTTAAGGATGCACATCCCTTCTACTTTAGGCAGTTTTAGTAACAGAAAAATTATGATTGAATCCAAATATGGAGGCCACTTTGCCTCCTAAAGGCCTTTTCCTGCCATAATTCCTGCTCCTCACCTTCCTGCATCAACTTAACCTGAGCAACCTAATGTAAGTAATAATCCACCTGCAGCCTCTGGGAACACAATATAAAAATTATTTCCTAGCCCGATACAAAACTTCATAACAACCTTTCCTTTCTTATCCCTGTGATTTTAAGGAAAGTATAGTATCTACTAAATATTATCAAATCCAACCACATTGATGCCTTGATGGGAATTGAGACTATTATCATACTCTTAATTCTGCTAATAATTTTAGTAATGCATTACAGCAGAATGTTCTATAAAATTTTACCTTTTATGTTGTATGTCAAAATGTTATATTTCTTTTCATTCTATAAAGCTGCAATTCTGGTATTATTTAGCTAAGAATACCTGATAAAGAAAGTCATCTTTTCGAGATGTTAAATTATTTCTACTCATTCTCCTTGCAAGGCAAAATTATCCCAATCTGCAAAATCTGCTGTGTGGTTTTGACCAAATGTCCTCAAATGATTCTCATCATATTGTTAACAGCAATAATGCATAAAAAGCACAATTTTGTGTATGCCTTATAATTTACAATTCTCTCAAGAGAAACACTCTTCCTATAAATATTTCTTAAGTAGTTTATATTCCATGAATAAATGTTGAGTTTAAAGAAGAAAATACTGTTATTTGTTCAATTATTGTATATTGTCTGAAACAATCTTTACTAGGTGGACTAGTTTACCAACTCCTAGTATTGTGGTCAGTTAGACAACTTAGTGGACACTTGCTATTATCTAAGGCAGTACATTCCATTGTTACCAAGTACCTTCGGGTGTTTCTAAAGCACATTCAATTCAGGGCATGTAACCTAAACGGTAATAGTTTATTGGGTTGCTTTATGATTATTAAAATCAATGTTACAGAAAAAATTTCGACATAAAGTACTTTCAATAAAAGGATTTACTTAACTGTTATCATCAGCTGTCTATAGCTAATGGGTTGGTGACTAGCTTAATTTCTGCATTGGAAGAGGTTTAAGAGATGTGCTCTACAATTAACTTGAGGAGTCAGAATTGCTTTATCAAAACAGTGGATTTAGTTTAGGAAAATTATACATTACATGTAGACGTTTCTTGACAATAACATTATGTGCAATGAAATGATTTTCAATGACATAACAATTTTCCATTGTTTAAGGCTAATTACTGAGTTTTAAGGGTAAGCATTCGTTTTCTCTCTACTGCTGTCATTATTATTTTCATAAAAATGTATAAATTTCTCCTGGTGTGCCATTATTTATAATTATTTTTAAAAAGAAGACTCAGATGAAATTTAAAAGATGAATAATTTCTTTAGAAAATTGCTTTTTTTGGTTTCTGTCAGAGTTTGTGTATTCCATGCAGTGTGACATTTTTGGTACATACCTAGTACAAGCACAAAGCTTATGCATTTTAAAAGATTAAAATACTTAAAAAATTTTTCCTCCAAATAATTTTAGCTTAGTGTTTTCAGAAAGAATTCCAGGAAACATTCTACAAACTTTCATTGCTAGAGTAAATGGAAAGCAGCAAAATAATCCAGTGGAGCAGGAAAATTCAATGCAATTATTATTAGTAGTATTATTTCTTGTTGTATTGCACTTCATCTACCAACCAATAGCTGAGTCAAGGTTTTATAGAAACCTGGGATTCCTGGATTGGATAAATCTACTCGAGCAATACAACTAAAGTATGTTCAAATGTTTAGTATTTCTACTTTTGGAAAAAAAAAAAAAAAGAAACAGCTCAACCAAGCAACATGAGGTGATTGTCAAATTTTCACAAAGAAGTTATCAAAAATTTTGCAAATTTTAACTTGAGATTTTAGTAAGACAGTACTTTGCTGAAAAGGGAAATTTGAAATCAGTAAAAGAAAAAGAAATTATTGAGCAGTTTGTTTTAGTATTTTTCCAAATTCCTTATTCGTTATTCCAGCAGCTAGCTTGGCTAGGATAGATTCATTAAAAGCAAATATTTTCTTCAAAGACTTGGAACTCACTACTAACATAAATATTCATCTTCAAATTTAACTTTTTAGAAGCATACACCTTGCCAGTTCCATGGTAATTTCAAATATGCCTTTCTATTTTAAATAGAACAACAGCTGCTTTTTGTTTTTTTTGTTTTTTGTTTTTTGTTTTTGCATTGGTAAAAACAAAAGGAAGTTGGAAGGAGAAAAAACAGAGAAAGGAAGTAATTTGGTAAAACTGAAAAGAGATGAGGCCTCTAGTGAAGGCTCTCTTGCACTTTTGCATACAATCTTGTGACTTATGCTAGAAATACATACCCATCAACTTTGTTTTCCTAGTAGTAGTTTTAGGTTCTCTGTCAATGTTTAACCCCGTTATAATAATTTTTTCATTGAAAACTTTATACTAGTTGCCCAAATATGCCCCAACTTGAATTTCCTCTTAACAGATTTCTTTGCATTATATAAAACTATTCTTGGGAATGAAGATCTGGAACACAGAAAATGAGAAAAGGACAAAAGACATGTTAAACAAGAAAAAAATTAAGAAAGATCCATAGAAATTATTTTAATATTCAAATTCTATTTCTCTCTACAGCTTATCATGCAAACTAAAGGAAAAGGAGGCTAAGGATATAAGCACCCCTGAAAAATCCCAAAATTTTCTTGTCATTTTCCAAAAGGAATTATCTAGAAAGAGATGAAAACTGACTTCAGATTGAAAAGCAATACAAATATAAATAAATGTACTGTTTGAATACAATTCTACAATAGTTTCAAGCTATAATATCATCAAACACTCAAGCATATGGAAAGATTAACAGTATAAGTATTTCCTTAAAATATGTCTTTCTAAATATTGTAACACGGATATGTTAGCCCTTAACTGTGCCTTGAAAAGAAAAAGCATAATTTTGAACTGACCTATTAGGAAAATATGTATCCTCCATAAAATTGAGTTTTTGATATTTTGATATTTTATTTTTTAATGTAAAATATTCAGAGCATTTAGATAAGGATTGTATAACAACAGAATACTCATGGTACTTATTTAAGTTGTACTGTATATTGAGACCTCTTGTGATAATATAATAGAAGTGATAAATACACATCTCTGATTGAAAGAATCAGCTTCCTTCACCAGAAAATTAATTTAGTCATAATCAGTGATCTATAAACTGAGTTTATTGACTTCAGGTTTTTAAGGCAAGATAGCAAACATTAAAGTTCTCAACTACTACAATAAAATGTCCTTATGAATTTAAAATACTTCATAGGTTTTCAGTAAAACTATTATTTATAAAATTTCAATCCCTACCATAAACTACATGATTCTTTATGATCATGGCTTTTATCTAATCCTCCTCATCCACTGTTTCTTTTCTTTTTGTTCATTATACTATTGTTACTGGGTTTCCTTCAGTTCTTTATATACTCTTGGACTGGATTATTCCTCCCCAACTCTTCCTAATTCTTCATCTCTCTCCACACACATGCATACACATACACACACACACACACACACACACACACACACATTATTATATGCTATTGGCATGGCTGGCCTCTTTTTCTCATCTCTTTGATTTTAGCGTTAATGACATATACAACCTAGTATCTATTTTCTGCTTTTCTCTGTCCATCCATTGCATATTTTGTTTGTAAGTGGAATTAGACAGTTTTGAGAGAAGAGGTGCCAAAGGAAGAAACAGAGGCCAGAATCATTATAAAGTGCCTGTCTTACAGTAGGTCTCTTAGGCAATTTTTGAGAATCACAGAGAAAGGTGATTGGGGTAGAAATTGTGGAACAATTCCAGAGGACCTTTATGAGACCCTAGGCACAAGCAGAGCTGCTTTGGGAGTCCTGGTAACAAATTGAAGCACAAGCTACAGAGTCACACTCACTCCTCAAACAAAAATCCCAATTTGCACACATGCACATCTTCACAGATGCCAACACACTTCTAGTAGCCCAAAGATTGAGAACTTCGGAACTCTAGGAACAGGAGCCTAAACAAGCGCTTTGATACTTGCACTATCTTAAGCTTCTCTAAATAGCTTTCTAGAGAATTGGTGGATTTGTATGAGTTGAAGCAGGAGTTTTATTATGGCTTTTACCAAGGGATAATTGGAACTGGCAGACTCGTATGTGAACACAATACAGCATTTATTTTGGAAATTGCAGAAAACATTTTTGGCTGGGGAGTGATAGTGACTCTTTGCCTCTTTCTGGATGAGGACTCACAAACCAGTAGATATTTGGCCTATAAAAAATTATACATGGTTATTAGCCATCACACTTTTCTTGCCATTTATTACGTTTCAAGCAAATTAATGTTAAATTGTCCGATAAATTTAGATAGCATGACTCAAAACACATGTATCATTTAAGTAAGAATTGCTCCTAAAATTTGTATTAATACCTGTAAGCATATTTATGAAAACAAAACAAACAAATGAGTAATTATGGCTTCCAAAACTGTGCTCATGGAAGACTTAGATTCCTGGAACAGCTTGCATGTTTCGCCTGTGACAGCTACATGAACTGGTGTCAAGCATGGGGATTGTCCCTTACCGCAGATAACATAGAAACCAAATTGTTTATCTCATTAGACCGTTCTAATATGCTGCATTCCTATAATTAGAATTACTTTATCTCTCAAATTTTATCCAAAGTGAACCTACAAGTTGCATTCTTGTGGCAATATGAGCATAAAAGTCAAACATGCTACCCAAAAAGCTATACAATTTCACATATGCTGAGTAATCTTACTCTCTGGTGAATGCTCAGAGAAGCAAACTTAAAATTATTCTTCACAAAACAGATTGTGAAAAGTTAATGATGTTAGGTTTATTAATACACAATATATTCATATTCTTTTATAATGTATACTAATACAATACCTAAATTTTCATTATATACAATGGGTCAAATTCTATTAGAATACAAATGTATTTTTGAAGACCAACTTTTGAGTAATATATTTTATCCTATAAAAGTCATATTAAAAATGCATTGCTCATTAATATATTCAACCCAGAGAGTCCTTCTTAATGTGTTCTTATTAACAGATATAATACATTTTAAAAATCTTATGATGTTAAAAATGTAAAGTGATAGATGCTAGATTAAATGACTCTAAATAAGTAGGATTGTTATTACAAGCTTTATTTGATCTTTAATATAGCAGTGGGCTCCATCCAACTTGGAAAGATAGTTTTCATTATCCTAAGAATTATCTAATTGCTGAAAAACTATGTGAGAATTATTATAGTATTAAACAGATGCTCACAAACATTTTCTAAATCCTTTTTGAATATTACATTAGTACGTTCTCACACTGCTATAAAGAACTCCTGAGACTGGGTAATTTATGAAAAAAAAAAACAGGTTTAATTGACTCAGAGTCCTGCAGGCTGTACAGGAAGCATGGCTGGGAGGCCTCAGGAAACTTTCAGTCATGGTGGAAGGGGAAGGGGAAGGGGAAGCAAGCATGTCTTACTATGGTGGAGTAGGAGAGAGAAAGAGAGAGAAGGTGGAAGTGACACACACTTTTAAACCATCAGATCTCATGAGAACTCACTACCATGAGAACAGCAAGGGGGAAATCTGTCCACATGATCCAGTAACCTCCTACTAGTTTCCTCCCCTAACACTAGGGATTAAAATTCACAATGAGATTTCGGTGGGGGAACAGAGCCAAACCAAATCAAACCCATTTGTATTTTCAGCCAATTCTACTCGCTATAGTATCGTTCTTTGAAAATTATTGTATGTTGTGTAAAGGTACGCAGTTATTTATTATAATAAATAATTTTTAGGATCCAAACAGTGGAATCAAGTTCATATCACTTTATTATATATTGTTTACTCTTCTCATCTGTACACTTGTTTTTCACTCTATATTCAGTAGATTTACAGAATATCCTCTTAGAACTGTAAATGGATTTTTAGTAAACTAAAAAATCGCTGTGTTAAGATTTTCCCTCACAATTTGGTCAGCCTGTTAAGAAAGAAAACAAATAATGAGGATTAACAGTCTGTGGAGGAAGCACAGTAACCAAGAATAAAAATTACAGAATGTGAGAGAACAAGGCAATTTCAATGGGTGTAGAGGAGTAGTAGGAACTAGAAGACTAGGCACTATTAAATCAAATTCAGCCTAAAGCTGCTCCCTTACATATTTTAGGCTCAGCGTAAAGGTTTTACTGTACACTGTGAACTATAACAAGTGAAAGTGTAAACAGAACGTAGTCTGCACTTGTGCCAATCACCGAGTTTTGGCCAAATATAGCCAACTGTTCAAATAAGGCAAACGCCATCTGTAACCAATCCAGTTATTTCTGTACCTCACTTCCATTTTCTGTAACTCACTTCCACTTGCCCTATGTCACTTTCCTTTTTCTGTCCATAAATCTTCCACCACGTGGTTGCACTGGAGTCTCTGAGTCTAGGCTGTCTCAGGTGGCTGCCCAATTGGCGAGTTGTTCTTTGCTTAACTAAATTCTTTTAACTTTAATTCAGCTGAAGTTTTTATTTTATCAGTATGTATATAAGATGGAAGTTTTTATTTTATCAGGTTTTTATAGAACTGGAAGGATACTGTACAGTGAAGAACAGGTGAGGTGGATAGGAGACATAGAATCAAGGAGGCGTTGATCAGGCTGGAGGTGCTCTCCCTCAGAAAATTGTAGCTTTTGTATTTCTTAAAGCAAACAGAGTTAAGTTGCTGTTGATCAACTGTTCAAGTACTTTAGTGATCAAACAATGGAGTATCACAGTGGCTGCACAAAATCATTTAAAGAAAATCAGGCCATACCAGATTTCGCAAATGTAATATAAAGAGTTTTGATTATTTTTTGGTGAGAATTCCTTCAATGCTAAATTATAAGATCTATCACCTGGAAGATCAATGTTTCCCTTAACCTTTCAATTATTCTTCTCTTCTCTTCAATCTATTTTCTTGAATTCTTTTCTCAAATTAAAATACCACATCTGTCCAAATAATTGAAGATACGAAGGCACTAGGTTTTAGATAAAGCTGGGATGATAGTTTACCTGTCATTTTCAGGACATTCTCATGTTTTGCTTTGCTTCTTGCTTGTTTTTTTGACTAACGTGTAAAATCGGACCTATGTCTCCAGGGAAAATCCTGTAATGACTTATGAGTTATAAGTGAGAGCTCACAGCTTATCATTTCTAGGAGAAACATTGAAATACAGAAACCCTTGAGGCTGAAGTCTTTCAGAGTTTTAACGTGCAAAATTTCTTCCCTAGAATATCCACTAGGATCAAATTAAATGTTGTTCACCACTCTATTTGAAGAGAAACTTTTCAGTTATATATTTGCTCTTGTTTAAATTAAAAAAAAAAACAGAGCATCAAAGGAAAAATTCTGCAGATTCCTTTTGTCCTTTTTTTATTATTTTTTATTTATGTATTTTTTTCGCATAGTAAGTTTTCTTTTTTTTTAATTTCATTGTTATTATACTTTAAGTTTTAGGGTACCAGTGCACAACGTGCAGGTTTGTTACATATGTATACATGTGCCTTGTTGGTGTGCTGCACCCATTAACTCTTCATTTACATTAGGTGTATCTCCGAATGCTACCCCTCCCCCCTCCCCCCACCCCCCACCCCACAACAGGCCCTGGGGTGTGATGTTCCCCTTCCTGTGTCCAAGTGTTCTCATTGTTCAATTCCCACCTATGAGTGAGAACATGCGGTATTTGGTTTTTTGTCCTTGCGATAGTTTGCTGAGAATGATGGTTTCTAGCTTCATCCATGTCCCTACAAAGGACATGAACTCATCCTTTTTTATGGCTGCATAGTATTCCATGGTGTATATGTGCCACATTTTCTTAATCCAGTCTATCATTGTTGGACATTTGGCTTGGTTCCAAGTCTTTGCTATTGTGAATAGTGCCACAATAAACATACGTGTGCATGTGTCTTTATAACAGCATGATTTATACTCCTTTGGTTATATACCCAGTAATGGGATGGCTGGGTCAAATGGTATTTCTAGTTTTAGATCCCTGAGAAATTGCCACACTGACTTCCACAATGGTTGAACTAGTTTACAGTCCCACCAACAGTGTAGAAGTGTTCCTATTTCTCCCCATCCTCTCCAACACCTGTTGTTTCCTGACTTTTTAATGATCGCCATTCTAACTGGTGTGAGATGGTATCTCACTGTGGTTTTGATTTGCATTTCTCTGATGGCCAGTGATGATGAACATTTTTTCATGCATCTTTTGGCTGCATAAATGTCTTCTTTTGAGAAATGTCTGTTCATATCCTTTGCCCACTTCTTGATGGGGTTGTTTTTTTCTTGTAAGTTTGTTGGAGTTCATTGTAGATTCTGGATATTAGCCCTTTGTCAGATGAGTAGATTGCGAAAATTTTCTCCCATTCTGTAGGTTGCCTGTTCACTCTGATGGTAGTTTCTTTTGCTGTGCAGAAGCTCTTTAGTTTAATTAGATCCCATTTGTCAATTTTGGCTTTTGTTGCCATTGCTTTTGGTGTTTTAGACATGAAGTCCTTGCCCACGCCTATGTCCTGAATGGTATTGCCTAGGTTTTCTTCTAGGGTTTTTATGGTTTTAGGTCTAACATTTAAGTCTTTAATCCATCTTGAATTAATTTTTGTATAAGGTTTAAGGAAGTGGTCCAGTTTCAGCTTTCTACATATGGCTAGCCAGTTTTCCCAGCACCATTTATTAAATAGGGAATCCTTTCCCCATTGCTTGTTTTTCTCAGGTTTGTCAAAGATCAGATATTTTTAGAACAATATCCCTGAAGAACATTGATGCAAAAATCCTCAATAAAATACTGGGTAACCAAGTCCAGCAACACATCAAAAAGCTTATCCACCATGATCAAGTGGTCTTCATCCCTGGGATACAAGGCTGGTTCAACATACGAAAATCAATAAACATAATCCAGCATATAAACAGAACCAATGACAAAAACGACATGATTATCTCAGTAGATGCAGAAAAGGCCTTTGACAAAATTTAACAGCCCTTCATGCTAAAAATTCTCAATAAATTAGGTATTGATGGGACGTATTTCAAAATAATAAGAGCTATCTATGACAAACCCACAGCCAATATCATACTGAATGGGAAAAAACTGGAAGCATTCCCTTTGAAAAGTGGCACAAGACAGGGATGCCCTCTCTCACCACTCCTATTCAACATAGTGTTGGAAGTTCTGGCCAGGGCAATCAGGCAAGAGAAGGAAATAAAGGGTATTCAATTAGGAAAAGAGGAATCAAATTGTCCCTGTTTGCAGATGACATGATTGTATATCTAGAAAACCCCATCGTCTCAGCCCAAAATCTCCTTAAACTGATAAGCAACTTCAGCAAAGTCTCAGGATACAAAATCAATGTGCAAAAATCACAAGCTTTCTTATACACCAATAACAGACAAACAGAGAGCCAAATCATGAGTGAACTCCCATTCACAATTGCTTCAAAGAGAATAAAATACCTAGGTATCCAACTCACAAGGGACGTGAAGGACCTCTTAAAGGAGAACTACAAACCACTGCTCAACGAAATAAAAGAGGATACAAACAAATGGAAAAACATTCCATGCTCATGGATAGGAAGAATCAATATCATGAAAATGGCCGTACTGCCCAAGGTAATTTATAGATTCAATGCCATCCCTATGAAGCTACCACTGGCTTTCTTCACAGAATTGGAAAAAACTACTTTAAAGTTCATATGGAACCAAAAAAGAGCCCACATTGCCAAGTCAATCGTAAGCCAAAAGAACAAAGCTGGAGGCATCACGCTATCTGACTTCAAACTATACTACGAGGCTACAGTAACCAAAACAGCATGGTACTGGTACCAAAACAGAGGTATAGACCAATGGAACAGAACAGAGCCCTCAGAAATAATGCCATACATCTACAACTATCTGATCTTTTTTTTTTTTTTTTTTTTGAGACAGAGTCTCACTCTGTCGCCCAGACTGGAGTGCAGTGGCGCAATCTCGGCTCACTGCAACCTCCGCCTCCCGGGTTCATGCCATTCTCCTGCCTCAGCCTCCCAAAGTGCTGGGATTACAGGCGTGAGCCACCGTGCTCAGCCCAAAATATGGCATTTCTAATACAGGTGGTCAGCAGTTACAACTTGATGCCAAGCAAAAAAAAAAAAAAAAATCTGGAAAACAGGCCCAACCTAGAGGGAAAAAAAAGAGTTAAGTGAGGTGGAATTTTTTTTCTACAATTAAGTGATAGTATCAGATAAGTTACAGGCTTTTTTTTGATGGCTGGTTTTGTGTTTTTTGTTTGTTTTTTGCCCCACTGTGTTAAAACATCATTAAAACACCATATGAAATATTCAATTTTCTACAAGAAAGAACATGTGCCAGTTGGTTCAGCATGATGTCTCTCTATATAAATTACGCCGAGCTCAGCTCTGAAAAGTTTAAACCATGAGCAGTGGCTGAGAGAAAAAAAGAACTTTTGGGCAAGTGTGTACATGTTACCTACCACAAAAGCTGACCAGGGAAGAGTAGCCAAGTACTCCAAGACAGAGTCCATTATCCCATGTAAAAAGAGGGAAACTGAAACCCTTTCCATGTTTTGGTGTGTGGCAATAAAGATGTTTTGGGTTCCTGGAAATAGCATGGCAGACCATAATGGTCAAGAGGAGAGGACTACCTGTTTTTAAACTGTTTTAAAACCACTGCTGATGTTTCCTGCAGCATGTGTGCCATCAGATTGAGATCTTGTATAGACATCAGTGGTCACTTTATCCTCACTCCACTGCTTTCTAGCAATGAAGTATGTGGCCATTTGTAAATTTGTCTGTCTGTTTGTTTTTTGAGATGGAGCCTCGCTCTGTTGCCCAGGCTGGAGTGCAGTGGCGTGATCTCGGCTCACTGTAAGCTCCACCTCCTGGGTTCACGCCATTCTCCTGCCTCAGCCTCCCAAGTATCTGGGACTACAGGAGCCCGCCACTATGCCCAGCTAATTTTTTCTATTTTGTTTTTTTTTTTTTTTGCCAGAGATGGGGTTTCACTGTGTTAGCCAGCCTGGTCTCATTCTTCCAACCTTGTGATCCGCCCACCTCATCATACCAAAGTGCTAGTGTGTCCAGAATTGGTGTGTTCTTGGTCTCACTGACTTCAAGAATGAAGCTGCGGACCCTCGCAGTGAGTGTTACAGCTCTTATGGTGGCGCGTCTGGAGTTTGTTCCTTCTGATGTTCGGATGTGTTTGGAGTTTCTTCCTTCTGGTGGGTTCGCGGTTTCACTGGCTTCAGGAGTGAAGCTGCAGACCTTCGTGGTGAGTGTTACAGCTCATAAAGGCAGTGTGGACCCAAAGAGTGAGCAGCAGCAAGATTTATTGGAAAGAGTGAAAGAACAAACCTTCCACAGTGTGGAAGGGGACCTGGGTTGCCACTGCTGGCTCCCGCAGCCTGCTTTTATTCTCTTATCTGGCGCCACCCACATCCTGCTGATTGGTCCATTTTACAGAGAGCTGATTGGTCTGTTTTGACAAGGTGCTGATTGGTGCATTTACAATCCCTGAGCTAGACACAAAAGTTCTCCACCTCCCCACTAGATTAGCTAGATACAGAATGTGGACACAAAGGTTCTCCAAGTCCCCACCAGAGTAGCTAGATACAGAGTGCGGACTGGTGCATTCACAAACCCTGAGCTAGACACAGGGTGCTGATTGGTGTGTTTACAAACCTTGAGCTAGATACAGAGGGCCGATTGGCATATTTACAATCCCTTAGCTAGACATAAATGTTCTCCAAGTCCCCATCAGACCCAGGAGCCCAGCTGGCTTCACCCAGTGGATCCTGCACCGGGGCCGCAGGTGGAGCTGCCTGCCAGTCCCGCGTTGTGTGCCCACACTCCTCAGCCCTTGGGTGGTCAATGGGACTGGGCGCTGTGGAGCAGGGGGCGGTGCTTGTCGGGGAGCCTCTGGCCGCGCAGGAGCCCACGGAGGGGCAGGGAGGCTCAGGCATGGTGGGCTGCAAGTCCCGAGCCCTGCCCCATGGGGAGGCAGCTAAGGCCCAGCGAGAAATCGAGGGCAGTGCCAGTGGGCCAGCACTGCTGGGGGACCCAGCACACCCTCCGCAGCCACTGGCCCGGGTGCTAAGCTCCTCATTGCCCAGGGCGGCAGGGCCAGCCGACCGCTCCCAGTGCGGGCCCGCCAAACCCACGCCCACCTAGAACTCCAGCTGCCCTGCAAGTGCCGCGTGCAGCCCCAGTTCCCGCTAATGCCTCTCCCTCCACACCTCCCTGCAAGCTAAGGGAGCCAGCTCCGGCCTTGGCCAGCCCAGAAAGGGGCTCCCACAGTGCAGTGGTGGGCTGAAGGGCTCCTCAAGCATGGCCAGAGTGGGCGCCAAGGCCGAGGAGGCACCGAGAGTGAGTGAGGGCTGTGAGGGCTGCCAGCACACTGTCACCTCTCACTAGGATTACAGGAGTGAGCCACAATGCCCGACCTGTAAATTGTTTTAAGTATAATTCTACTTATTGCAAAAACAAAGGAAATAATAAAAGACTATCTCTGTGTCTAAACACCTGAAGCATCACCAAAATGGTATTTTCCTAAAAACTCTTTTACAAAAATAGTGTTATACAAAAAATATTAAAGGTGGCAGAGTAAAACTGTTTTTTTCTTCCAGTTTGTTTTATAATATTTATTAATAGAAGAATAATTTTAAATACATGGGCATATATATAATGCATTTATTCAGAGCAAAGTTTCTCCTTTACCTCTGCTGATTTCATTTGAGTTTATAGTTGCTGCTCATTATGTTCAGCATCTGCTTTATTAAATGAATCAATAAATCAGTTATGACCATAGAGCATGAGCTAGCAAAAGAGCAAAAATTCTAAAGCTTAGGGTTGTGCATATAAATCCTACTGGTAAATTCTAATATAACTTAGTAGAACGAGCACTGCACTAAACTGAGAGTCAAGGGACTTGAATTTTTTAGATTAACACCTGTCATGGACTTATTTGGCAAGTCACTTTCAAGTAAAATAGGAATAAAAGCAGTTATATATAAATAGTTTCCATTCATTTTTCTTTGCAACAGCATCTCTTCATTTTTTCTCTAAGGAAATGAAACAAATCTCTGTTATATGAATCAGGATCTTCGGAAGAAGATCCAGGGATGAGTAACCTGCTAGTTTTCCTTTGACCCTATCTTCTACTCCTCCATAAGACTTCACAACTCATCTTAAAGTATCACCTGAGGCAAATCCATGGGTTCCTATACATTAAAATTATTTTGTGAAAACCACTGTCAACATGTAAAAGATTTTCTACATCTAATTTTAATTATTATTTGAATGTTTAACCTAAGATATTTGTCTCTGTTTGTTGTTTGTTTTTGAGACAGTGTCTAACTCTGTCATCCAGTCTGGAGTGCAGTGGTATGACCTCGGCTCACCGCAGCCTCAACCTCCCGGACCCAGGTTATCCTTCCACCTCAGGCTCCCAAGTAGCTGGGACAACAGGCGTGAACCACCACACCCTGCTAATTATATATATATGTATATATGCACACACACACATATATATGTATATATGCATATGTATATGTGTGTGTATATATATGTGTGTGTTTGTGTGTGTGTGTGTGTGTGTATGTGTGTGTGTGTAATTTTTTTTTTTTGTCAAGACGGGGTTTTGCCATGTTGTCCAGGCTGGTCTCGAACTCCTGGGCTCAGCCTCCCAACATGCTGGGATTACAGGCATGAGTCACCACACCTGGCTGAGATATTTGTCTATCTGATATTCTATCTGGATGTTTATTCATATACCACATTTTTGATTCATACACCACATTTTTGATTCATACATTAGAAAATACTAGAGATACAAATAATGTACATATCAAAATGTGGTATAGAAATATATTCTTTCCTTCTTATTAACTGACTCCTACATTGGAACAGGGGCGGTATATGGACTCTGTTCAGATCAATTCTGCATCTCTTTTGCACTTTTGTAGATACAGCTAGCAGTGAGATGTGAAGAGAGGTCATGGTTGACCCCAGGAAAGCTCTTTAGAGTCCTTACTCAGGCCAGGTGCAATGGTTCATGCCTGTAATCCCCGCACTTTGGGAGGCGAAGGTGGAAAGATTGATTGAGCTCAGGAGTTTGAGCCCAGCTTGGGCAGCATAGTAAGACCCTGTCTCTATAAACAATTTTTTTACAAAATTAGCTGGGAATAGTGGTTTGTACCTATAGTTCCAGCTACTCAACAGGGTGGGAGGATCACCTGAGCCCAGAAGGTGGAAGCTGCATTGAGCCATGATTGTACCACAGCACTCTAAACTAGGTGACAAAACAAGACCCTGTCAAAATAAAAAAAGAGTTATTACTTTTTTACTCAACTCTAAGTCTTGTCCTTGCTGATGTGAAGTGGAAGCGATGGTCAGAAATGCCATGGTCATCTTGGGACATGAAGTGACTTTGAAGATTGGTGGCATATGCTGAGGAACAAACAGCAGATAGAAGACCAGGGCCTATTAATAGTGAAGCAGACACACCTCATACCAGCAGCAGACTGCCTACATCTAGACTTCTCTTGCTTATGAAATAAATAAAATTTTATCTTGTTTAAGCCTCTGACATAAAAAATCAGCCCAACTTAATTCTGATACTTACATTTATAGACCAAAATGTCTAGAATTGCAATAGCTACTTTTGCCTTATTGCTGTTGATATACCCTACACTGCTATGAAAAGGGTCTCAATAACTTTAAGAAATGGCCATGAGAAATGCATGAACTCACATAGAAGAAATAAAAAAAATCCTGAGCAAATGAGGAACAGCTCATGAGCTATATGGGATAGTGGATAAACACACTGATAAAAAAGAAGGAAGGCACAATAGTAGTTCACAGGTGGATTTGTCTATTTTTAGAGAAAGAAAAAATGACACCCAGGTTTGAAAGCTCACTGGGCAATTTTCTCTGTTTTTCTCTCCTAGGCATGCACATAATGTTTCTAATTCTCAATTTGTCATTTATAAAGTGAAGATTACATGATTACTCACCTCACACAATTATATGACAATTCAATGACATATTTCTCCACAGAACATTTTAATCTACTCGTAGTAAAGTGCCCAATAAATTCAGGCCATATCTATTCTCATAATCACCAATACACTGTCTTCTATTAGTAACCAGAGTCTGTGCATCAGTTTCCTTATTTAATAACATTGGGAATAAATGAGTCTTTTGTGCTTTTTTTATTGTGGTAGAAACACTTAACATGAATATTGCTTATTGACAAATTTTTAAACATACAGTACAGTATTATTAACTATAGATAGACACATTGTGGTACAGAAGATCTCTGGAATTTATTCATCTCACATCAATAAAACTTTATACCCACTGGACAGCAACTTCCATTTCTCCCTTTTCCCAGCTCCTACTACTTCTACTTTCTTTTTTTGAGTTTAAATATTTTAGATAAATAAGTGGAATCCTTCTGTGACTAGCTCATTTTAGTTAGCAAAATGTCCTCCATATTCTTCCACATTTTTACATATGGCAGTCTTTCATTCTTTTTAAAGGCTGAATAATATTCCATTGTGTAGATATACCACATTTAAAAAAATTCATTCATCTGTTGATGGGTCTTTGGGTGGTTTCCATATTTTGGTGTCTATTGTAAAGAATGCTGCTATAAATGTGGGAGAGTAGATTTCTCTTCAGGATCCTTATTTCAGTAATTTTGGGTGTATACTAAGAGAGGTGATTGCTAGATTATATGCTAGTTCTATTTTTAACTTTTTAAGAAACCTCTGTACTATTTTACATAGTGGCTGTACCATTTTACATTCCCATTAACATTGTGAAAGGCATCCAATTTCTCCACACTTCCAGGTTTCTCAACACCATTCGTTGAAGAAACTATTTTCTCCATTTTGTTTTCTTGGCACTCTTGCGCAGGAGCATTTAACCAACTGTGTGTGGATTTATTTCTGTGCTCTCCATTCTGTTCAATTTTTCTATATATCTGTTCTTCTGCCATATGATTGCTTTCATTACGGTAGATTTGGAAATCAAGAACTATGATCCCTTCAGCTTTGCTCTTGGCTATTCAATGTATTTTGTGGGTCCATATAAATGTTAGGGTTTTTTTTCTCTTTTTCTGTAAAAATGCCAATGAGATTTTGATAAGGATAGCATTAAATCTGTGGGTTGCTTTGGGTAATATGGATATTTTAATAATATTGTTTCCCAGTTTATGAATATGGAATTTCTTTCTGTCACAGTGGGTAGCTAGTCATTTATGAACATGGCAGGAGAGGGCTCCCTCCCTCCTACACAAACCAGGAGTGTTGGGTGACCATCAGGTGATGGTCAGGCAGTTGTTAACTGTCTAGCTAAAGTAATAATTGGTCACAGCTGGCACCAGGGAAAGTCCCGCTGTTAAAAGAAAACACCTGAAACTGGTTATCAGTGATAGCCAATAAAATCTCAGGAGTTGGGCTTACAGGGAGAAAAAGCAAAACCTCAGAGGTATGCCAACATTTAAAACCCCAAGTCAAAGCGTCAAGCTGCATACTAGATTTCTCAAGTCGCCTGCTTGGCCGTCTTTCAAGTTTAGTTTATTTCCTTTCATTCCTGCTCTAAAGCTTTTTAATAAACTTTCATTCCTGCTCTAAAACTTGCTCCTCTCTCTGCTTCTGCATTATGCCCCTCAGTTGGATTCTTCTTTCAGAGGGGAAAAAATGGCGGTTGCTGCTGACTCATACGGATGTGGACTCAGTGCAGGTAACATTTCCATATATTTTTGTCGTCTCTAATTTCTTTCATCAATGCTTTATAGTTTTCATTGTGCATGCTTTTCATCCCCTTGGTTAATCTTACTCTTAATTATTTTATAATTTTGTATGTGAGTTTCATATGCCGCTACTTTACTGAATTTGCTTACTTTAGTTTTAACGGTGTTTTGTGGAGTATTTAGGGTTTTCCACATACAAGGTTATGTCATCTGCAGAGGGAAGTGATTATATATCTTTTTCTAATTTGTTTGGTTTTTATTCCTTTTGTTTTTTCTTAACTCCTCTTTATGGGAAGGAATTCCAGTATTATGTTGCATAAAAATGACAAGAGTTAGCATCCTTGGTTTTTTTCCTGAACTTAGAGGAAAAGTTTTTAATTTTTCAATCTTATGAATAATGTTAGCTGTGAGTTTTTTATATATGGTCTGTAGTATTTCGAGGTAAATTTTTTCTGTATCAAGTTCATTGAGATTGTTAACATGGAGTGTTGCATCATTGAGACTTGTTAACCTGAAAGAATGTTGCATTTTGTCAAATGTTTTTTCAGCATTTATTGAGATAATCATGTGACTATCCTTTATCAACATGGTGTATTACATTAGTTAATTTGCATATGTTGTGTCATTTTTGTATATCAGGGAAAAATCCCACTTTGTCATTGTATATGATCCTTTTCATTTGTCGCTAAATTGGTTTACTAGAACTCTCTTAAGGATTTTTTATCCACATTTATCAGGGTTATTAGATTGTGCTTTTCTTCTCTTGTAGTGTATTTGTCTGGCTTTGGTAACACTGGACTCAGAAAATTAGTTTGAAAGTTTTCCCTCTTGTTCAGTCTTTTGGAAGAGTTTGAGAATAATTGGTGTTAATTAGCCTTTAAGTATTTAGCAGACTATGCCAGTGGAACCATCTTGTCCTGGGTTTTGTTTTGTTGAGAGGCTTTAATTACTGATTTAATCCCTTTACTCATTATTTGTCCATTCCGATTTTCTATTTCCTTATGATCAGTCTTGGTAGGTTTTTTGTTTCTGGGAATTTATTCATTTTTTCTAGATTATTCAATTTGTTGGCATATGATTGTTCATAGTAGTCTCTTATGGTCTTTTTAATTTCTGTGGAATCAGTTGTCTCCTCTTTCGTTGTTGATCTTATTTATTTGAATCATCCCTCTCCCTTTTTAAATTCTAAATTTTTTTATACTGTTTTTCTATTATCTATTTCATTTATTTCTACTGTAATATATATATTACTTTCCTTTCACTGATTTTGACCTGAGTTTGTTCCCCCTTTTTCAGTTCCTTCAGGTAAAACATTAAGTTGTTTTTTTGAAATGTTTCTTTTTAAATGTAGGAATTTATTGCTATAAATGTGTCTCTTAATCCTACTTTTGCTGCATTCTACAAATTTAGCTATGCTGTCTCCATGTATTTTCTGATTGCCATTTTTATTTCCAGTTTGACCCTCTGGTTACTCAAGAGTGTGTTGTTAAGTGCCCACATATTTTTAATTTTCTATTTTTCTTTCTGTTATTGACTTTTAGTTTCATTTTATTGTGGTTGGAAAACATACTTTGTATATGATTAATCTTATTATATTTGGTAATACTTGCTTTATGATCTAACATGTGATCTATCCTGGAGAATATTCTGTGTGTGCTTGTGAAAAACATGTATTCTGCTGCTGTTGGGGGAATGTTCCATGTATGCCTGTTTGGTCCATTTGGTCTATAGTGTGGTTCAAGTCTGCTGCCTAAATTTTTTGTGTTGGGATGTCTATTCATTATTTAAAGTGGAGTTTGTTAGGTTCTAACTGAGGTCCCAGGAGAGTCAGTGGGTGAGTGGTGGGTAGCTGAAGAAACACTTGAAGAATAGTTGACAGTTTTGACATGGCTTTACTCTTTGTCTGGGTGCAAGTAAACCATATGTGTAGTGTTAGCAGAGTAATTATATCTTTTACAGACAATTAGTGGCCCTGAGCCAAGCACAAGCTCACACGGATGATCACCTAATGTGCCTCATGTTGCATACTTACATAATGTGTGGGGATGTGTGCCTGCACTCCAAACCTGCTGAGTTGTCTTGTACCAGAAAGCTGCCTCGACCTGCTCCTGATAAAGCATAGCCATTTCCCTTACACTCCACCCCCTAGGCCAACGGTGTCCTCTGGGCAGGGACATGTGCTCATAGGGCAGAGCCCTGAATCCATTACCCACAACAACAACACAGACAGCAACAGCTCACTGCTAGGATCCCAGCTATGGTACCTATGACTATTAGGGCCCAGCATAGGCCAGAGCCTATGGCTGCCCACCATTTCTGCAGGGGGTCATCAGTAAGGCTCTCAAATGCCTTACTCTCCCACGACACCCATTGCAGAGCTGTTGTTGTGTTCTGCCAGTTATCAGGGATAAAACTGTAACATTGTGTTCCTAAAAGGGTACAAGTGCCCCCTTGGGCAGCAGTTATTATGCCTAAGGCCATTCAGTTTTGCTACACCACATTTCTGATCTGATCAAACCTCATCTGTTAACAGGACAAAGGCCACTTGGGTGTATTTCAGAGCCTGGGTGGTGTACCCTATAAGAGCAGTGACTTGTGTTTCTACAGTTATGATGCTTGCTCCAGGGGTAGTCATTGCCAAGGGGTAGAACCACCAGGGTGCTCATCGCACTTGCAAAACCAAGAGCATACCACCTCCCAGTTATGCGGGCATCTGGGCAACATGGGGATAACAGTGGCAGGTACATAAGGCCACCCCCAGGTACAACATCCAGTCCAGTCTGCTGGTAGGTAAGGCCACCCTGTGTCCCCACAAACCCATAAACTCCCAGGGGGCACAAACTCCACTGGGGCCCAATCTTGGTGAGGCTACTTATTCCACCATACCTTTGGTGTGGTGACATGTGTTATGTTTACACAGTCCATGATGGGTACCCATCCTACAGTGGTGTTACCCCAGTGTTTCTCTATTCACCCTGGTGCCTTGGCTGGGGGTGCTACATGCTCCCCCACTCACCAGCCTCACCCATTATAAACACTATGGGCCAGCCACAGGGTGGGCATGCCATGAATCTTGCAACGTCTTTTGTCCAAAGCTTGCTGCATTGCATTCCATGTGTTGGCCATGGGATTGCAGATCACCAGCCATGTCCAGTTCTCTGCAAATGCTGAATGTATGTGCCAAGGCAAGCCGTCTGCAGCTGCTGCTGGAAGGGCGGTGCAGATCCAACAGGTGGAAACATTGGTCACCTAAGCGTAGGTGTGGGTCCAGTCCAAAATGCAGTTGGAGCATGTTAAACTATGATTGAAATGACAGAGCAGGCATAGGTACTAACAAGTAAATCATGTCCCTCAGGCAAAATACAGGTTAACCTTTCATCCTGGATAAGAATGCACCTGCCAAAGGCTTTTGCCTCGTCAATGATACCACACCTTCTCAGCTCCCCACGGTCCCTTTGAGTCCTGTATCCATGCCAAAGTCATGGGGGAGCTCCTAATAGGCCACACAGACAGTATATATGTCCCCTAGAGGAGGGGTCCTTCCCTGGCCATTCCCCTACAAACAGTAAAGTGTGGGGGCCATGTAATGAACACCCAAAGAGTGACATGAAGTCATACTGTAGGCCCTTCTCCCAGGGAGCTATGATGGCCAGCCGCCAGCAGTGGGGGGCTTGAAGGGTCCATGGCCACATCCAAATTTTCTGTTCCCTTGCCTTCACGGGTGTTTGGGCAGGCAAAAACAGGTTACCATTCATCCCCATACCTGGTTGGAGGAGGTCATCCTTGGTATGTATCTGCAACTGAATGGGGGCAGCAGCCCGGTGTAACAAAGCCTCTACTGGGGCCCCTTTCCGTGGCCATTCATTCAAGGTTTGGAGCACCTGGAACTCCAGCCCTGCAAAGATGGGATGTGACATGCAACCATAATCCATTATTTAAGAGCCCATTATATCGCTCAATCATACCCACAGCTTGCGGGTTGTATGGCACATGGAATCCCCACTTTATGTCCATTTGTTGTGCCCATTGTTGTACGTGTTGTCCAGTGAAATGTGTTCCCTTATCCCTCTCAATGGCCAGAGGGTGACCACACAGGGCACATAAGTGTTGCAGGGCCAGGATGGTGTTCTGTTGGCCACCCTGCAAGGGAATGTGAACAACAGGCCTGTGGCTATGTCCACAGCTGTTAGCACATGCGTATACCCTTGTGACTTTGGGAGTGGCCTGATGTAGTCTACTTGTCACCTGGTCAAGGGCACGACCTATCATTACTTGTTGTATAACACTGGGAAGCTGCCTCCATTTATGGTATGCCTGAGGACATGCTGGGCATTTCTGACAAGCCTCCCAAATGTCTTAGGTGGGCAGGGACAGACCCCAACACTTACTGACCTGTTGCATCAGCTTACCCCCCGGCATGTCCCAGTTTCTGGTGTAGCCACAAGGCCACATCTTGTGTAGTGCCAACTCTAATCATCAGACCTTGGCCAAGGCATCTGCCTCATCATTGGCAGGGATGGCCAAAGGCATATGGTCTGACACATGGTAAATACTTACCTCTTTGTGATGAGCCTTTTCCCAGAGGTCTTGTCACATGACTTGGCCCCAAATGAGTCGGTGGCTGAGAAGCCGCTTCTGTATGTTCCAGGTAGTTAACCACAAGGTTGAGCCTCGATAGCCCAGCTAGTGGTACAGATTACCATAGGTATCACCTTGGTGATCACTATCCATACTGCTCTAAGTTCAGACCATTGGCTACTTTGTCCACACCCAGTTTCAAACCACATGGTATCAGTACTAGGTTGGACTATAACAGTGGTCCAGGCAGCAATAGCACCTCAGCTAGACCCATCTGTGTACCACATCCCATCGGGATTGGGTGAATGCCCTTCTTTAAACAGTGAAGGCTCAGGGTCTAGGGGTGCCTCAGGCCCCACGGCCTTATTTTGCATTAGGATTACAGGCCCCAACTCTGCTGCTAAGGGGCTTGTACTCAGCATACTCTGCTGCTTCAAGTAGGCACCCCACTTTACCAACATGGATGCCTGCACCATCCCAGTCCGGGAGGTTGTTACCCATGAATGCACCCATCCCACTACTGGGTAAGTCATCCACATGAAGACTGCAGCCCATCCTGTCACACTGTCACAAGGCTGAAGGGCAGCATGTGCAACTGCAAGCTGTTTCTCTGTCAAGGAATACTGGAGCTCAGCTCCCTTCCCTAGTTGGGACCAAATGCCCACTGATGTTCTCAAGTACTCTGTGTGCTGCCGCAGGCCCCAACCAAAACCATCTGTAGTCACATGCAGATCCAGCTCAAACAGGTCCCCCTGGTCAATTACCCATAGGGCTTGTGCCTGTTGAATAACCTGCTTGGCTGCCAGAAAGGCTGTCTCAGCCACATCATCCTAATCCCAGGTAGCTCCCTACTTTTTAACCAATGCAATGGTTTTATCATTTGAGCTAAATGGGGAACAAATGCCCGCCAATATCCCAGGAGGCCCACAAAGTTTGTAACTGCTTCACCATAGTGGGCTGGAGATATGCCTGAACTTTATCAGTGATAGCCTCTGGGATGGCCTTTGTCTTACCTGACCAAATAACTCCCAAGAATTTGGCAGATAATACGGCCTTTTGACCTTGGATTTGTTGATGCCCCAACTGCATGCTGCCAAATGTTGCCGCAAGAGGGGCAATGCCACTTCTAAATCTGCAAGAGAATCAGAGGCATACATAATATCATCAATATAATGAAATAGGCAGACTCCTCCTGGACATTGCCAGGGGGCTAAATCTGTGGCAACTAGACCATGACATATGGTGGGGCTGTGCACATAATCCTGCGGCAACACTGTAAAAGTCCATTGTCACCCGTCCCATGTGAAGGCAAACTGTTCCTGGCTCTCTGGAGCAATGACTATGGAGAAAAATGCATTGGCCAAGTCGACTACCTAGTGGTACTCCCAGTTCCATCATCAAATAGTTCATCAAATCCATGATTTATGGTACAGCTGCATGCAAATAGGATGTTACTTTATTCAGTTCCTGATAGTTCACCATCATCTGCCAAGTTCCATCAGGCTTTCTAACTGGCCACACTGGAGGATTGTAGGGACTGTGGGTCCTATGCTTTCTCCAAATCTTGTAGAACTGTGCTGACCACAGCAAACTATTTGCTCCTTTCCTTTTCTCTTAGCGGCCTCCAAGCATTCAAACTATGCTGGTTCCATCAGCATTGTAGGTAAGATAAGACAAAAACGAGTCCCTTGGGCAGTACACCTAACAGCTGGGGACATTGGGTACATGCACCACTCTCTCCTGTGGGCTAAGTAGAAGCCATGGGCTGAGATGATCTCTGTAGGTGCTAAGCTGTGCCAGATTGAAGAAGGAGCTGATGTGAGCAAATGAAATTTCTTCTTCTTTTATTTTTTTTGGAAACGGAGTCACTCTGTCGCCCAGGCCGGAGTGCAGTGGCACGGTTTCGGCTCACTGCAAACTCTGCCTCCCTGGTTCACACCATTCTCCTGCCTCAGCCTCCCGAGTAGCTGGGACTACAGGCACCCACCACCACGCCCAGCTAATTTTTTGTATTTTTAGTAGAGACGGGGTTTCACTGTGTTAGCCAAGATAGTCTCGATCTCCTGACCTCGTTATCCACCTGCCTCGGCCTCCCAAAGTGCTGGGATTACAGGCGTGAGCCACCGCGCCTGGCTGCTTATTCTTATTTAATAGGCTGCTCCTGATTTTGTGCTCATTTGGCATACAACTTTTTAACTGGGATCAATTTCTGATAAAATTATTTTGATCTACATATTATTGTTAAACTGGTGTTTCTGTGGAAAAACAAGAGCGGGTTCCTCTTCTATTTTGTTGGCTGTCAGTCCTAGATGACTTCTGATACTTCCGGACAAGTCACAGATTCTTTGATCTACAACAGATGCAAATATGTTAGCAGTCTACACTGAGTCACCTCTCTTTTAGCTGCCTATATATTTTCTACTTAGAATTTGAGGTACTCTAAAAATTTACAAATTTGAGATTTGTTGTGCTCTTGATTTAAAGTAGAGGTGAAGAGTTACATATTTCACATGAAGTTTGCATCAGATTACTTTATCTGAGCCACCCTTATTCTATCAGCTTTGCTGTTGTAAAATTGTTTTTTGTTTGTTTTGTTTTGTTTTGTTTTTTTAGAAAAAGATAATTGGAAAGAGGAATAAAAGGTATCAGCGCATGGAGATATTTGCAGGCAAGGGGCTGAGATGAGCAATACTCTTGAATATAGCCTACTAAAGAAAAGCCATAAAGAAGAACTTAGAAGAAGAATAAAGTATAACCTAAAAGTTTACTGATCTGAGTAAGGATCAAAGAGGTGAAATGGCTCCCTGAACTACAATCTCCCTGATGATTGAGACTGCCTTGGAATTGTTCATTCATATATTCCCGGCAATTAGGACAACAGCTAGCAGGTAGTTTATCATCAAAACATATTTAATAAATGTTCACCAGCTTTTACAATACTAAGTTTAAGTGCCAGGGAGAACCAATGTCTCTGATTCTAAATCTAGAGCTTTATTTTATTTATCATTTGCACATTGTTTTAGCTCCACAGCTTGCAACACTAAATATCTAGTGAATGAATGAATGAACAAATAAGTTCACTAGTAAATATTCCATTCTGTTTTTCTGACTATTCCATGGCGCAGGCAGAAGAAAGACGAGATAATAAAACAGAAAAAAGGAGACAGCCATCTCTGTTCCTTTCCTGCCTCCTCATCTCTTTCTCTGCCTCCACTCACCCCAACACCCACACACAGTTCAAGCCCAATCCAAAAAATTCTAAATCAGAGCATGCTGTGCAGGAACAACAGTGAAGCATTTGGCCTTGGTATTTTTATTTTAGTATGCGTACTTGCGAAGGACAAAAGAAAGGTCGGAAAGCAAACAATGCAGGAAGCAGTTGAAAAAAAAATACAGGGGAAAGCAGAGCTCTCTCTGACAGTAGTGAATAAGGATGAACAAATGCTGAGCAGCTGTTGTCAAGGGGATTCATTTGAACCACAACTTGGAGGAGGGTACCAAAGCTGTTTTGTTGCTTAACACATTAAACATGCACAGAAAGGGATGAGAGTAAATCATGCCTCATTGCAGGAGTCCTATAATGTGCCATCAGGTGCTGCCTGAGTCAGACAAACTCTGAAAACCACCCAGAAAATGATGCAGGAAGTTAAAGAAATTCAATGATTCCTGTTCTTGATTGGGTGGGAAAACTTCACTACAGGAACAGGTTTTTAGCCAAAACGCATCTATGTGGGAGTTCTGTGCAACACGATCTTGCAAAGGAGTAAAAAAACTAGAAAAGAAAAGGACAGCCCTTGGAGAGGAGCAGACTAATTCAGAACAAAGATAAGGCTGTTTCAACCTCAAGCACTGAGCTGCTGGAAAGTACAGATTTTCTCCCAGGAATAGCCTGTCCCTCTCTCCGTCTGCAAAATGTTCAGTCTCCAGCAGGTTCTCAGTCCACTGTAGTGGTTCACTAACTGTTTGAAGCTCTACTATAAAAGACTATATTTTTTTCAAAACAGGTGAGAATAGGAAATTTAGAAACTCCAAGCCTAGTTTCTCTCCCTCTCTCTCATTTTTAATAAACTCTGGCTGCCCTTGTTTTGCCATAGCTTCACCTTTTATTTAAATAATATAACTTTTACTCTTTTCTTATTACTGAAACAATGCATATTCATAGAAAGGCAAAATAGAGTAGTGCCAGAAGCCAGTCTGCCTAAATTACTACTTCCACTATTGTACTTAATGCCTAGGTGACCTTGAGCATATAATTTAATCTTTCTTGACCTCAGTTTCTTCAGCAGTGAAGTAAGGATATTAATAATATCTAACTCATCATATTGCATGAGAATTAAATTACTCAATTTATAAAAAGAATTTATAATAGTGCACTGGCACATGATAAATGCTATTTAAGTGTCAGTAATTATTGCATAAAATACAAAAGACTATAATAATATTAATGTCATAATATACATATATAGAAAATAAAAATTATCCTTGATCCTATTCTAACCAGTGATAGTCATTGTAAGATTGTAGTATGTTGCATTTTGTACATTGTGTAAGTACCTTCTTCCAGTGTCAACACCACAAATACTATCGATTATAAAGACCATAACACAAAGATTATATATTTGATACCAAATTTAGATGTTATATCATTAATCTTATTTGTTATATAAACCCTATTAAGTTAGAAACACTATTATCTCAGTTTTGCAAATAAATTAAACATTATAGTATCTGGTAGGCAGAATTCTAAAATAATCCTCAATAACTCATACCATCTTCATAATTCCGTTCTCTTAAATGTAGAAAGAAATATGAGATTTCTGTAATTAGGTTACTTTAGATAGCAAAGGCAAAGGGATCTTGTGAGTATAACCAATAATCCCAATCAGTTTTTTCTGAGTTAGTCAAAAGGAAGGATATGCTGGATAGGCCTAACATATGCAGTAAAGACATCGTCCTTTGGCCTTGGAGAAACAAAGTAACATAATATAGAGCGGGCCCATTGGCAGGGAATGATGGGTAGCCTCTAGGAGCTGAAGGTCTCACTCCTACAATTGCAAGAAACTGAATTCTGCCAACCACCAAGGAGGTTGAAGGAGGACCTCAAGCTTCACATAAATACACAGGCTGGGCCAGGCTCAGTGGCTCACACCTATAATCCCAGCACTTTGGGAGGCCGAGGTGGGCGGATCACGAGGTGAAGAGATTGAGACCATCCTGTCCAACATGGTGAAACCCCGTCTCTACTAAAAATACAAAAATTAGGCGTGGTGGCGCATGCCTGTAGTCCCAGCTACTCCGGAGGCTGAGGCAGGAGAATCCCTTGAACCCGGGAGGCAGAGGTTGCAGTGAGCTGAGATCGCACCACTGCACTCCAGCCTGGTGAAAGAGCGAGACTGTCTCGAAAACAAACAAACAAACAAACAAAAACAAAACAAAAACACAGGCTTATAAAACTCTGAACAAGCTCTACTAAGCTGTGCATGGACTCCTGACCCAAAGAAAGTGTGAAATAATGAATGTGTCTTTCAAGCCACTAAAGATGTTAATTTATGGCCGAGGGCAGTGACTCACGCCTGTAATCCCAGCACTTTGAGAGGCCGAGGAGGGCCGGATCACGAGATCAGGAGATCCAGACCATCCTGGCTAACATGGTGAAACCCCGTCTCTACTAAAAATACGAAAAATTATCCGGGCGTGGTAGCGGGCACCTGTAGTCCCAGCTACTCGGGAGGCTGAGGCAGGAGAATGGCGTGAACCTAGGAGGCAGAGCTTGCAGTGAGCCGAGATCGCACCACTGCACTCCATCCTGGGCAACAGAGCGAGACTCTGTCTCAAAAAAAAAAAAAAAAAAAAAGATGTTAATTTATTATACAGTCTACAAAGTTTAGAAAAATAGTACAGAAACATTAAAGCATAAGGAACACAATATAAGTAAGAAAGCAAGTGTATTCAGAAGCTATACTATAGGCTTTCCTTTAGACAGATAAAATGTAGATTTTTAAAATTGTCTCATCAATTTGGTTTGGGTTTTATTCCACTGCATATATATATATATATATATATATATATATATATATCTGCTTCTATAGTAAGCCAGTAGCCTAATGTTAGCTATTTAGCTTGTCTGACCTTTAGAAAAGCTGGTACAATAGGCCGTGTGCTGTGGCTCACGCCTGTAATCCCAGCACTTTGGGAGGCCAAGGCGGGTGGATCACGAGGACAAGAGATCGAGACCATCCTGGCTAATACAGTGAAACCCCCTCTCTCCTAAAAATATAAAAAATTAGCCGGACGGGGTGGCAGGCACCTGTAGTCCCAGAGACTTGGGAGGCTGAGGCAGGAGAATCACTTAAACCTGGGAGGCAGAGGTTGCAGTGAGCCGAGATGGCGTCACTGCACTCCAGCCTGGTGACAGAGTGAGACTCCGTCTCAAAAAAAAAAAAAAAAAAAAAAAAAAAAGAAAAAGAAAAGGTGGTACAATAGATAGTCTTCAAACTAAGTATTACCTTGTATTTTCTTAGAAAATTATATAGGATCTAATTCACACAAATAGAAAGGCTGAATTAAAAAGCATGTGCATTTTTGAAACATATTCCTATTCCTAAAAACATTGATATGACTGACAGCCCCCTGGGATCCACATGAGTATCGAGTTCATTTCCTGTCTAGAATATATTAGGTACTAAAATACATAGAAAGTTCTAAAAATTGTAAGAAAATAATTTTATAAGATTCAGGACATGTAACTATGATAAACTCTGCATCTATACACAAAAATTCTTTAAAACCTTTCTATGGCAAATAGTGGAAGACTCAAAACATTTTTCCTTAAGAGCATCTACCAATCCCACAGCAAAGTGTGGCAGCCAATTAAACACCTTTAGTAATTGTTGGAGTGTTATCAGGCAGAAAGAATTTGTAGACAATCTGAAAATTCAATTAAAACAAAAAGTCTAATCTCTATACCTGTAAGAAATTTGAATCACTGATAGATTTTTCTAGCACTTATATTCTTTGTTTTTTGCCTTTTACTTGAGGAATGTAATTAAAGAGAGGGAAGGTCAGGGAAAGAATAGCCAGGCTGAATTAAAGAAAAACAAAGAAACTTCCATTTGAAACCAGATTATAAGCATACTTAGTTTCAAAATTGAAATCTATCATGTCTTAATAAGAAATAGTTAAGATAAAAACTGCTGACATTATGTTGAAAAGGTAGGGGATATACAAATTATTACACAGAATCCAATGGCAGGAAATACATCTAAAACTTATGAAAAACAAGGCCAGCACTTTGGGAGGCCTGGCGGTAGGGGGGGCATTGTGGATCAGGAGGTCAAGAGTACGAGACCAGCCTTGCCAATATGGTGAAACCCTGTCTCTACTAATAATACAAAAATTAGATGGGCGTGATGGTGCATGCCTGTACAGCCCTCAATCCCAGCTACTCAGGAGTCTGAGATAGGAGAATTACTTGAACCCAGGAGGCGGAGGCTGCAGTGAGCTGAGATCACGCCACTGCACTCTAGCCTGGGCGACAGAGCAAGACTCTGTCTCAAAAAAAAAAAAAAAAAAAAAGAAGAAAAACAAAAAACTTTAATTGAAGAAGCAAAGGTCAAAATTATTTTCACTATCTCAGGTCTTCTGCAATCCCTTATTTCACTGTATTCATTCTCTTTTTGAGGGTTCTTCTGTCCCTGTTTTGGGGTGCTAGATCTAACACCCATGGCCTAGAGCTCCATGATCACAGGTTTGCCTGATACGAACCAACTAGTGTTTCTGTGATACTCTTTCAAATTTCTAAGGGTATTGAATTAATGTGATTTGAAGCAAGAGTATACTTGCACTTTTAAAGATATGGTCAGGGGATTGAAGGTCACATTTTAGCCTCTACTAGGTAGGAGAGCAAACATTCTCACAAGGCACAGAGATAAATTATCCGGAATTCATATTCACACTTTAAATTATCTTTTAAAAACTTGTAAGCTCTGGCCGGGCGCAGTGGCTCATGCCTGTAATCCCAGCACTTTGGGAGGCCAAGGCGGGCGGATCATCAGGGCAGGAGATCGAGACCATCCTGGCTAACACGGTGAAACCCCATCTCTACTAAAAGTACAAAAAAAAAAATTAGCTGGGTGTGTTGGCCGGTGCCTGTAGTCCCAGCTTCTTGGGAGGCTGAGGCAGGAGAATGGCGTGAACCCGGGAGGCAAAGCTTGCACTGAGCCTAGATCATGCCACTGCACTCCAGCCTGGGCAACAGAGGGAGACTGTCTCAAAAAAACAAAAAAAAACAAAAACAAAAACAAAAAACAACTTATAAGCTCTACATTTTAGGGTTTTTTAAATTGCTTTAAATGGTTTGGAATTTGTTTCTTATTGGGGTAAAAAGTATGTATTTTTGTTTGTTTTTGTTTTTTGCTTGTTTTTTTTTTTTGTTTGTTTGTTTGTTTTGAAATGGAGCTTTGCTCTTGTCGCCCAGGCCGGAGTGCAATGGCGCGATCTCGGCTCACTGCAACCTCTGCCTCCTGGGTTCAAGCGATTATCCTGCCTTAGCCTCTGGAGTAGCTGGGATTACAGGCGCCCGCCACCACACCCAGCTAATTTTTTGTACTTTTAGTAGATACAAAGTTTCACTATGTTGATCAGGCTGGTCTCGAACGCCTGACTTCAGGTGATCTACCTGCTTCGGCCTCCCAAAGTACTGTGATTACAGCCATGAGCCACTGTGCCTGGCCAATAATTATAAATTCACAGGAAGTTGCAAAGAAATGTATAGGGAAGTCCTGTGTACCTTTCTCCTAGCTTCCCAAAATGTTAACATCCTACACAGCTATGGTACAATATCAAACACGGAAAGGTGACATGGCTATAATCTACAAAGTTCACTCACAATTCACCAATTATGCATAATTACACATGCATTCATTTGTGTTTGTGCAGGTATGTGTGTAGCTCTATGAAATTTTACCACATAAGTAGGCCTTCATAACTACAGCCAGTCAAGATACTTTCCTTTAATCCACACCCATCTCCAACACCTATTCCCAAACTCTATCAACCAGTAATATCTTCTACATCATTATAATGATGATATTTTGTATTACAAAAAATGGAATAATACATATCATTTTGAAATTGGCTTTCTTTATTCAGCATTTTTTTAGATTAACCTAAGTTGTGTGTATCGATAGCTTTGTCCTTTATATTGCCAAGTAATATATGGCATGGAGGTACTAAAGTTTGTTTAACCATTCATCCATTGTAGGACATTTGAGAGTTTCCACTTTGGGGCCATTATGAATAGAGCTGCAGAATACATTAATTTATAAAGTACTACATGAAAATGTCTTCATTTTTCTAAAGTATATGCCCAAGAGTGCAGTTTCTCTGTTGTATTGTCAGACTACATTTAAAAAGTAACTTCCAATTATTTCCAGAGTGGCTACATATTTTACATTCTTATCAGCAATTATGAGTGACCTAATATTTGTGCATTCTTGCCAGCCTTTGGTGTTATCACAATTTTTAAAACTTTACCTATTGTATGGGTGTATAAGTGAAATCAGTTTTTTACTTTGTAGTTCTCTAATGGGAAATGATGCTAAATATCTCTTCCTATGTGTACTTGCTACTTGTATATCCTCTTTGTTGAAATGTCTGTGCATATTTTTTGTCCATATTCGAAATGGATCATCCTTTTTTAACTGTTTAGTTTTGAGAATTCTTTATGTATAGTAGGTACAAGGCCTTGTTAAATATGTGCACTGTAAATATTTTCTCCAAGTCTGTAGCTTATCATTTTGTCCTTTTAATTGGGTTTTTAAAAGACAAAACTTTTTTACTTCTGGTAAGATGGAATTTATCAATTTTTACTTGTATGGCTTATGCTTCTGATATCAACACTAAAAACTCTTTGTCTAGTTCAAAGTCCTGAGGATTTTCTCCTATATTCCTCAACCTCATAAAATCATCTGTGAAATACAGCTGACATCATAATTGATGGTGAAAGAGTAAATTTATCCCTCTAAGATTAGGGATAAAGCAAGTATTCTGTTCTCACCTCTTGTATTCAACCTAGTACTAGAAATTCTAGCCAGGTAGTAAGTCAAGAAAAAGAAATGAAATGCGTAAAAATTAAAAATAAAATTGTCTCTATTTGCAAATGACATGGTTGTCTATGTAGAAAATCTCAGGAAATGTAAAGAAAAAATAAGCAAACAACACTTCTATAATACACTAGTGAATTCCTAAAAGTTTCAGGATATGAGATCAACACAAAAAAATTCAATTGCATTTCTACATACCGACAATGAACAAGTAGAACCAAATAAAAACAATACCACTTACAATAGTTCCAAAGAGAATTAAATATATATATCTAACAAAGCATGTATAAAATCTATATGATGAAACTTATAAAATGTTCACTAAAGAATTCAAGGAAGGCCTAAACATCTGGAGAAATATACTATGGTATAGATTTGGCACAGTCTCGGCTCACTGCAACCTCTGCCTCCTGGGTTCAGACGATTCTCCTACCTCAGCCTCCCGAGTAGCTGGGACTACAGGCACGTGCCACCGTGCCCGGCTAATTTTTTTGTATTTTTAGTAGAGACGGGGTTTCACTGTGTCAGCCAGGATAGTCCCGATCTCCTGACCTCGTGATCCACCCGCCTCGGCCTCCCAAAGTGCTGGGATTACAGGCGTGAACCACCGTACCCAGTCAGTTTAACGCAATTCTTGTCAAATCTCAGCAAGTATTTTACAGGCATATGTAAGCTTCTTCCAAAATTTATATGGAAAGAGAATGTTCCAAAACTACCCAAAATATTTTTTTAAAAAAACAAAGTATTAGGAATCATTCTTCTCAATGTTAAGATGTCCTACATAGGTGCAGTAATCAAGATAGTATAGTACTGGTGGGAGGATAGTTACACAAACCGAGATAATAGAATAGGAACCCAGAAATAAATCCACACGAATATACCAAATTAGTTTTTGACAAAGGAGCAAAAGCATTTCAGTGGAGGAAGAAGAGGCTTTCCATAAATGGTGTTAGACCAGTGGGACATCTATCAGAAAAAATGAACCTTGGCCTGGACTTTACACCTTATACAAAAATCAAAAGGATTATAGACTTAAATGAAAATTGCAAGATGATAAATCTTCTAGATAATTTGTTTTAATCATCAAAATCTAAAATTGCTTGCATGTAGATGAAGTTAAGAAATAAGAATAAATTCCTTAAAATAGAGTCAGAATTAGCCTGCTTTGAACAGGTGCATCATCATTTAAACATTGTAGAGAATGTTAGTAAACCCCTTCATAAAAGAGGATAGATAGAATAAGTCCATTCTTTGATATTTGATACATGAATACTCCAGTCAGAGAAATTCTTATTATGACTCAGTGATAATTACCCCCTTACTTTTTCCTAATTATTCTCAGAACTAGACAGTATGCAGGAACAGACCAGGGCCATGCCATGTAAATGGTCTGCTTTGCCACAATTAATCTATTCATGAAATATATGGAACGCCAGCTGCATCACAGTAGAATATCACTAGTAAACTAAACACTTTCTTCCCAGAAGTCTCTGTCCTTGCTGTGTTTGATAAAATAAGCTGCTATATTTCGAGTTTCTATATGTAGAGACTGTTCAGGAACCGTGGGTGAGTCCTGTCAATAGCCAAGAAACTGAAGCCCTCAAGTCTCTAGCTTCATAGCAACTGAATTCTGCCAACATCCACATCAGCTTGAAAGTGGATCCATCACCATGGTAGACTGAGGAAAGATCATAATCACAACCTTGGCTTCAATTTTCAGTTAAGACCCCAAAGCAGAAATCCAAGCAAAGCCATGTCCAGATTCCTGACCCCCACAAACTGAGATAATAAATGGATGCCATTTAAGTGGCTAACTTAGTGGATATATGGTTAGGTAAAAATAGATAAATAATTCATACTTTAAGAAGCCTGCAGCTTTGATGTATTACTTATTATATCTATCACATATACAGCCTGACTCATGGATAAATGATGATTATCAGTTAATATTTAATAATGACTGAATGAATGACAATATAGACACATACATCTAAAAAGATGGAAGAATATATATTTTTAATAGCATTGTATTTATATTAGCTATGCCCATTATCAAATGGCCCAGAGCAGCGGTTTCCAAACAGTGGAGATAAAAATGACAGAATAGCTTCGATAACAGTGAATTCGTGTGTGCAGTAAACATCTCTAGGTCAGAAATTGTGTTACAGATTTTTTTTTTTTTGAGACTGAGTCACGCTCTGTCGCCCAGGCTGGAATGCAGTGGTGTGATCTCGGCTCACTGCAACCTCTGCCTCCCAGATTCAACTACAGGTGCTCGCCACCATGCCCGGCTATTTTTTGTATTATTATTATTATTATTATTATTATTATTATTTTTAGTAGAGACGGGGTTTCACCATAGTGGCCAGGCTGGTCTCAAACTCCTGACCTTGTGATCCGCCCACCTCGGCCTCCCAAAGTGCTAGGATTACAGGAGTGAGCCACCACGCCTAGCCACAGATATGTTTTTGAAATGTATATAGATGTAATGAATGCAGTGCAAAAATCATTAAAATTCACTATTGAATTCATAGTAGACTTTTGTTGTTCTTTGAGGTGAGATCAGAAATTATGATGTCATGCATCTACTCAATTTGCTAATTATTTTCAAGAGCTGATAAGACATTAAGAGACATTTAAATGGAGGTATTCAGAGAGGCAGATATATGTGTTCAAATTTGTAAATATTACCTTTTCAGGTTTTAGGTCCAGTCGACATTAACTGTCTAGGAAAATGAGAAAAGGATTCAATTGTACTACCGAGAAGTAATGCATGAAATAATATTTTCAAAGGAGTAAAAAGCAGCCATTTAATCAGGGTAGGCACATGATGGCACCGCATCTGTTTCCCATCATTCTTTCCTTTTATCAGAAAGCCCGCTACAGCAAACAGAATGCGGGCAGCAAAAGAAGATGAGGGTGTTTTCCTTTAAATCTTTGGCCAGCCATAAACTTACTTCGAAAAAATGGAACAGGGGCAGACAGCAATCAACACACACAAAAAGCGAAAGGCAACCTTCTTTTTAAAAAGAACTGCACTCCACTGGAAAGATACAGACAAAAATCAGTTCTGGGTAGCAGCCGTATTCACTTTGTGTAATACACTACTCAAAGCCAAATTTGCCAATCATGATAGATGATTAAAAACAAAAATATCTGGTTATTTTACAAAAACTGCTTTCTTCTACCACAGATTTATTAAGGCCATCTGCATTTATAAACGTTGGGATGAGGTGAATTGGGCCAGTATGAGAAATTTCTGGCTGTTTTGGCGTGGCACTAATCCTAGGTGAGCCTCTGGCTTGTCTAATGAAGGCTTATTTAATACAAGTTAGCTCTCTAGGGGCCAGGAGAGAGGGTCAAAAACATTTGTGCCTCAGTTCATGTGTTATTTGAAATAAATAATCTGGATTTGAGGCATCCTACCTTGAAAAAAGAAAAAGAAGTTATTGCCAAATCTATTATTCCCATGGCCAGAGACAGTTGTGTCCAGATCTATGTGTAACAATAATGATTAAACCTCTTGATAAAACTGTAAACCTTAAAAAAGAGGAAAGTAGAGAAAAGAATAATATTCTCTCTTGATATCTGCTATGAAGAATTCACCAGGATTAAATTTGTCAAGAAAACCCACCCAGGTGCTATTTGAAAGCTGTGCTTAAAAAGGATATCAAGAAATACAAAACAAGTGAAATCCTGTGGCTGTCTTTTGAATATATTAATTCAAATAACTGCAACAATTAGAAGCAAATTCGATTCGGAGACTGTATTAGTTTGCTATGTTTGCCATAAGAAAATACTACAGACTAGCTGGCTAAATAACGTAAATTTATTTTCTCATGGTTCTGAAGACTAGAATTGCAAGATCATCAAGGTGTCCGTAGAATTGATTTCTCCTGCGGCCTCGTCCCTTGGCTTGTGGATGGCCAGTTTCTCGTTGTGTCCTTATGTGTCTCTTCTAAATACATCAGTCAGGCTGCAGTAGGTCATACATAATAGCCTCATTTTGACTCAATTACCTCATTTGACCCTATCGCCAAAGGCAGTCATATTCTGAGGTATGGGGGTTAGGGCCTCAGCATATGAATTTGGGGGTTCATAACTTAGCTTATAACAGAGAATTTTAAAGTACACATATATACTCCTAGGGATTAAAGCAGCTTTAAATGAACTTATTTTCTACACAACTATTCACAATTAACATTAAAATTCTACTTTCAGAAGAAACTAATAACTGCAATCATGCAAGAACAAATAGCCAGTGTGTAAAGCTGCTAAAGTGATTTCAAGTACTTATTTCATCCAAAGATAGAAGCCAGTCTCTTAAAGTGTCTGAACCTAACCTTTCCTGTCTGTAAAATGGGTCATTGTAATAGAGAGGCCTTAACGTAAGTTAGTACTGAGAATCAAAAGTTTGTGATTAGGTGATACATGTCCATTTATTTTCTGATACTGTTTTACTTACAAAAAGTGTGATTTAAAATCATATTTCCATGTTACTTGAATAAAAGTTAAATACAGAGCAAGAGGATGAAAAGGACTGAACACTTAATAAATAAGGTATTTGGAAAAATGGTTTTAGAATTTTTAAACTAGTTAAAAACTACAAAGGTGATGTGCAGACATATAGTCTATCTATCTATCTATCTATCTATCTATCTATCTATCTATATATATATATACACATTGCTTTAATAGTAGCTTTACCTAAATATAATTTGTATTATATAACTTTCTATTTAAATTCTATAATTCAGTGGTTTTAATATATTCGTCGATAAGTACAGACTTCAAAAGTCAATTTTAGCGCCTCCCAGTAAAATGTATTTTAAGAAACATTCATGTTGGAGAGTGTATCAGTATTTTATTTCTTTTTATGACAGAATAATATTACATTGGAGGTACTACATTGTATTTATCAATTCATCAGTAGATGGTTGTTGCTACCTTCTCAGCTATTATGAATGATGTTGCTATAAAAATTTATGTACAAGTTTATAGGTGAATATGTTTTCATTTTAGGAAGATACATATCTAAGATTGAAATTGCTGAGTCAAATTGGAACTGTGTTAAATTATTATTTTAGGAACTACTAGACGATTTTCAAAGTGACTGTGCCATTTGCATTTTTACCTGCGGTGTAGAAAAGTTTTCATTTTCCGATATTAATCAATACTTGTCATTATTTGAGTGTTTAAAATTATAGATAACCTAATGAATATAAAGTGGTACCTAATTGTGGTTTTTATTTACATTTATCTGAAGACTAATGATGTTCAGCAGTTTTTCATGTGCTAATTGGTAATGTGTATATCTTCTTTGGAACATATGTATTCAGATTGTTTTGTCCGTTTTTAATGGAGTTAGTTGTCTTTTATTGTTGAGTTGTCACTGTTTTTATATATTCTACATATGAATCCCTTATCAGATACACTATGTGCCAATATTTTTCTCATTATTTGGATTCTTTTTTCACTTTTGTGACAGTGTTTTTTGGATCATAGAAGGATTTAATTTTCATGAGATACAATTCAACTTTTTTTCTCTTTTGTTGCTCATGCTCTTGGTATCCTATCTAAGTATCCACTGCCAAATCTGAGGTCATGCAGATTTACCCCAATGTTTCTAATAGCTTTATTTTTTACATATAGATTGGTGATTCATTTTGGATATATTTTATTTATGGAGTGAGATAAGTATACAATTTCATTCTTTTGTATATGACTGTTTAGTTGTCCCAGTACCACTTGTTGAATAGATAGATTATTCTTTCCCTGTGGAATCATCTTGTCACCCTTGTTGAAAATCAGTTGACCATAGACACATGGGCCTTTTTCTGGACTCTCAATTCTATCTCATTAACTTATAGTCTATTATCATGCAAAATCCATACTTCCTTGATTACCATATTCTTACAGTAAGTTTGAAAATCAGGAAAGATGAGTCCTCACAAATTTGTTTTTGTTTTTCAGGATTGCTTTGACTATTCTGGGTCCCTTGCAAATTCCATATAAATTTAGAATCAGTTTGTCTATTTCTACAAAGAAGTCATTTAGGATACTGATAAGGATAGGCTGAATCTGCAGATCGACTTTAAAATTACTACCATTTTAACAATATTCTGTTCAAATCTGTTAAAATAGAATGTTTTTCTACTTCTTTAGATATTCATTTCAGCAATGTTTCATAGTTGTCAAAGTACAAGTTTCTCATTTATGATGTGTGTTAAATAATTGTCTTCTGCTTGACTCTACTAAAAACATTATTGTCTTTTATTTTTGGATTTTTCATTACAAATGTGTAAAAGTATTTTTTTCTTTTTGTGCATTTATCTTGTATCCTGAAACATTACTTGTTTATCAGTTCTCATCATATTTTTCTGGATTCCTTAGGATTTTATATATGCATGATCAAGTCATCTATGAATAGGTATATAATTACTTCACCTTTTCAGTCTGGTTGACTTTTCTTTTTCTTACCTATTGGCATCCATAAGGCCTTTAATACAGTATGGAACAGAAGTGGCAAAAGTACATATTTTTATCTTCTTCCTGATTTTAGGGGGAAAAATCCAGTCTTACATTATTAAATATGATGTTATTGGTGTGTTTTTCGTAGCAGACTTTTTATCAAATTGAGAAAGTTCCTTTAAATATATAGCTTTTTAGTGTGTTATTGTGAAATGGTGCTGGTGTTTTTTCAAATCTTTTGAGATGATCACACATTTTTATTTTCTTTTAAATTTTTCTTACACTAACAATTTTTGGATAACCTTGCACTCATAAGATAAATTCCACTTGGCCCTGGTGTATGAGATTTTAACATGTTGCTTGATTCAGTCTGCTAATACTTTGTTTAGGATTTATGTCCAAATTCATAACAGGTATTAATTTTTAGTTCTTATCTCTTTATTTGGTTTTCTGTCAGGGTAATTCTGGACTCATAAGATTATTTGGAAAGTATTCCCTCTTCCATTTTTCTGAATTGTCTGAGAAAATTGATAGTAATTATTTTTTAAATGTTTGATAGAATTCAGCTGTGAAACCATCTGGACCTGAGCTTTACTTTTGGGGCAATTTTTTACTAGTTCAGTTCCTTTACTTGTTACAAGTCCAATTAGGTTGTTTATTTCTTCTTGCATCAGATTTGGTAGTTGGTAGCTGAATTCTTCAATGTCATCCCTGTTATCTAATTTATTGTCATAGAACTGTTCATATTAATCTTTTAATCACTTTTTATATCTGTAAAGTTGACAGTAATATCTTTCATTTTTGACTCTAGTAATTTGGTTTCTCTTTTTTCTTGATCACTGTAGCTAAGTTTTTTTCAATTACATTGATCTTCTTAAAGAAGCAGTTTCTTTGGCTGGGCACCGTGGCTCACACCTGTAATCCCAGCACTTTGGGAGCCAAGGTAGGCGGATCACAAGGTAAGGAGATTGAGACCATCCTGGCTAACACGGTGAAACCCCGTCTCTACTAAAAAAAATACAAAAAGTTAGCCAGGTGTGGTGGCATGCATCTGTAATCCCAGCTACTCGGAAGGCTGAGGCGGGAGAATTGCTTGAACTTGGGAGACGGAGCTTGCAGTAAGCTGAGATTGCACCACTGTACTCCAGCCTGGGCAACAGAGTGAGACCCCATCTCAAATAATAATAATAATAATAGTAATAATAATAATAATAAAATATTTTTTTCACTAGATTTTTTAAATTTTCAATTTTTATTTATTTTTGAATTTTTATTATTTCCTTCATTTGGCTTCTTTTAGTTTGTTCCTTCTCCATAAGGTGGAAGGTTTAGTTAAGATCTTTCTTCTGTATTAATATAGGTATTAGGTAAAGTTTTTCATCTAAGCATTGCTTTAATTGGATCCCATATATTTAATATGCCAATTCTTCATTTTCATTCACCTCAAACTATTTTCTAATTTTTCTTCTATTTTTTTATTTGATGCATTTAATCATTGAAGAGTGTGTTGTTGAATTTCCAGCTATTTTGAATTTCCCAAATTTCTTATTGACTTTTATTGTCTCATTCCATTGTGGTTGGAGAACATACTTTGTATTACCTTGATTATTTTAAATTTATTGAGGTTCATCCTAAGCCTACTACGTGTTGCATTTCAGAGAGTTTTCCATGTGTACTAAGCTCTCCCTAGCTGTCCTATCCATTATTGGAAGTGGGGCATTGAAGTCTTCATCTGTTATTTTTGAACGATTTACTTCTGCCTTCAATTCTGTTAGTTTTTACTTTATATTTATTGGGACTGTAGTTTTCCTTTTTTAAAAGTTAACTTTTTTAGGGCAGTTTTGGATGTCCAGTAAAATTTAAAAGAAGGTTTTAAGATTTCTCATATTGCCCCAGCCTCTACATGTGCATAGTCTCTCTTACCATCAACATCCTCACCAAAGTCGTACATTTGGTACAAATGAATCTACATCAACACATAACACCCAAAGTCCATAGTTTACACTAGAGTTCACTCTTAGCATTGTACCTTGTATGGGTTTGAAGAAATGTATAATGACATGTTCTCCCCATTATAATACACAGAGCACCTCACTGCCCTAAAAATTCTCTGTGCTCCATCTATTTATCTCTTTCCCCACCCCTAAACCCTGGCAACCACCGATGGTTTTACTGTCTCAACAGTTTTGCCTTTTTCAGCATGTTATATATTTAAAATCAAACAGTATGTAACCTTTCCAAATTGACTTCTTTCCCTTACTAATATCAGTTTAAGATTCCTCCATGTCTTTTTATGGTTTGATAGCTTATTTATGTTTGTTGTTGAATACTATTGCCTGGATACACTACAGGCTATTTATCCATTCACTTACTGAAGAATATCTTGATTGATTCAACATTTTGGCAATTATGAATAAAGCTAGTATAAACATCTATGTGCAGGTTTTTGAGAGATATAAGTTTTCAACTCATTTATGTAAATACCAAGGAGTGTGGCTATGGATTATGCTTAAGTATATGTTTAGTATTCTAAGAAACCTCCAAACTGTCGTTCAAAGTTCTGTACCAGTTTACATTCCCACCAGCAATGAATGAGGGTTCCTGTTGCTACACATCCTCACCAGCATGTGGTGCTGTCCATTTTCTAGATTGAAGCCATTCTAAGAGGACCATAGTGGTATGCCATTGTTGTTTTAATTTGCACCCTGATGACATATGATAAGGAGCATCTTTTCATTTGTTTACTGCCATCTGTATACTTTGGTTTGGTTTCTACTTAAGACTGGCACAGTTTTAATTTTTTTCTTTATTATTCAGTTTTAAGAGTTCTTTGAGGCCAGGCACAATGGCTCATGCCTGTAATCCCAGCACTTTGGGAGGCCAAAGCGGGCAGATTACAAAGTCAAAAGATCGAGACCATCCTGGCCAACATGGTGAAACCCCGTGTCTACTAAAAATACAAAAAATTAGCTGGGCATGGTGGTGCACATTTGTAGTCCCAGCTACTAGGGAAGCTGAAGCAGGAGAATCTCTTGAACCTGGGATGCAGAGGTTGCAGTGAGCTGAGATGGTGCCACTGTACTCCAGTCTGGCGACAGAGCAAGACTCCATCTCAAAAAAAAAAAAAAAAAAAGAGTTCTTTATATATTTTGGATGATGTTTACCATGTGTCTTCTGCAAATATTTTCTCCCAACACGCATAGCCTTGTCTTGTTACTCTCTTCAAGTTTTCTGTTTCAAAGCATATATTTTCAATTTTAATGAAGTCTAGATTATCAATGATCTTTTTCATGGATCTATCTCTGATGTTGTATCTAAAAAGTCATTGTCATATCCAAGGTCATCTAGGTTTTCTCCTGTGTTATCATCTAAGAGTTTCAGAGTTTTGCATTATATATTTAGGTCTATGATCTATTTTGAGTTAATTTGGTGGAATTGTGTAAGATTGGTGTCTAGATTTATTTTTTAGATACTTGGTCAATAGTTGTCTTTTTCTTTGTGTACTTTAAATATATTATTCTACTTCTTCTTGTCTCTGTTGTTTCTAATGAATAATTTAGCTGTTCATCTTATTGGATTCTCCAACAATGCATCACCGCGGATAGATCCTTCATCTCATGAGTAGGGGCAGAGGAGAAGGATGCCCTCCCTTCTTGGCTATATTCACGTGGAATTTAACCTCTGCAACATGTAGCTGGAGGCAGAATAAGTAATGTTAGCATCCTGCCCCTCCAGAGTATATAGTCCTTCAACTAAGAAAGAAAGTCCTTTGTTACTGGTTTTAACAGTCTGGATTGGAGTTTTGCCTTGTTGAGCCTTGTTGATATGGGAGAGAGGATTGTGGGTGTGAGTCTTGGTCTGAATACTGCAAACTTTCACAGATCTTTTGAAAATTTAATAGTTTCCTGAATAAGTGTTTCTTCACTCACTGTATGCACTTAGTGCCATTTACAGAGCTAGTTTTATATATGTAAAACTACACACACACATATTCTATATACATACACATATATATACACATGCACATATATATACATACATGTATAACTAATAACTATATATATCTGTATAAAATGTTACTGGTTTTGCTAAAGAGGGTTCTGAGGAGCTCCTCTCCTCTTGCTCTCATTTGAAAGTAGAATCTCATATATATGTATACACACACACACATACATATATATACACATATATACATATATTTAACTTTAGATTTCTCAATGTTATTTTATGTTTATCCCTGATGAAGACTATACAAAATAAGAGTAATGACAATAGTAACAGCAAATTATTATAGGGACATAATTAATTTGTCTATATTCTTCTGAAGATTTGAGTCTTAATTCTGCTGAAATTAACTGTCAATAGACAGATTAATGGGCCGAAATGTACACATATTTATTTACGTGCATGGAGACACAGAAAATATAAATCTCAAAGAAGAACCAGATTTATTAATAGTACTTCCTTTGTACAAGAAAAGGAGATGGGGGAATAAGCAATTTAAGAGCTAGTAAATGATTTTCAGAACTGTTGATTCGGCCCAAAGGAAGAAACTGTAGTTTGTAAATGATTCTCTTTGAAACTGAATGGAATCTAAGAACAGACTGTAGCTTGGGACAAAGTCTGTCTAGGTGTGGTGACATTCCTCAGTCATCCTGAGATGAGTTTAATCTTCCCTGATTAATGAAATTCCACAGATGGCATCAAAGGCAATTGTGTTTCTTCTGAAGGAGCTTCAGATAAGGGAACTTCAGAGTTCCTTCCACCCTGTTCTTAGGAGAAACAGGAGAAAGTCAGAAAGTCCTTGGTCCTGAGCCTGTTTCTAAAGCCTTTTCATTTCCTTCAGTTTGAAGTGCTTAGCATGCCAAAGCCTCATACTTTGAGGTATCTTTTTTTGAGCCTCAACATAATATTTTTGAGCACTGTCTAGATGCAACACTATGCTTTTTTTCTTTTATGGACACTATTTAATAGTGTTAAAATATTAATTAAAATACTTTAATAATGTCTACAGAAGAAATAGAAATATTTTATCCCTTTATTACCGATAAGGAAACAGGGTGAGAAAGTCTTTAGCAGATTCATTCAAGAATATATGGCAGAATCAGGCATTCTACTCAAGTCTCTCACATAAAACCCCTTATAATGTAATGTATAATGTAAACAATTATGTGACTTATAGACAAATGTTATTAAGAAAAACAGAGTCACGTATTCTATCTAAATTTCTAGCTATTAAATAATAAAATTAGATTTTGATTCATGAAATCAATATTTGGACCATTTTTCTAGAGTACTTTCACCCAAATTATAATTGCTATAAATTTATACAAATTATAATTGTATAGATGTGTGCCTTTTAAAAATATAAGTGTTATAATCTATGTTTTTGGGTTGTATACAAATAGTCGACCGTGCCCGGCCGCCTATAAATGTTAATATCGTATCTTGGTCGGGTGCAGTGGCTCAAGCCTGTAATCTCAACACTTTGGGAGGCCGAGGCGGGCGGATCACCTGAGGTCAGGAGTTTGAGACCAGCCTGACCAATATGGTGAAACCTCGTCTCTACTAAAAAAAAAAAAATAATACAAAAATTAGCCATGCTTGGTGGCGGGAGCCTGTAATCCTAGCTACTCAGGAGGCTGAAGCACGAGAATTGCTTGAACCCGGGAGGCGGGGGTTGCAGTGAGCCGAGATAGTGCCACTGCACTCCAGCATGGGTGCCAGAGTAAGAATTTGATTCAAAAAGAAAAATCTTAATATCACATCTTTTTTTTTTTTTTTTTTTTTTTTTTGAGATGGAGTCTCGCTCTGTCACCCAGGCTGGAGTGCAGTGGCGCAATCTCGGCTCACTGCAAGCTCTGCTCCCGGGTTCACGCCATTCTCCTGCCTCAGCCTCCCGAGTAGCTGGGATTGCAGGCGCCCAACACCACGCCCGGCTAATTTTTTGTATTTTTAGTAGAGACAGGGTTTCACCGTGTTAGCCAGGATGGTCTTGATCTCCTGACCTCGTAATCCTCCCGCCTTGGCCTCCCAAAGTGCTGGGATTACAGGCGTGAGCTACCGCGCCTGCCCAATATCATATCTTAATATTCATTATTTTTTATGTTTTATCCTTAAAAGTAAAGATTATAAGAATACACAACCAATTCTTAACAAAATTTCAAAACTAAAATGGCAGCAAAAAAACACAAAGAAATAAAAACAAAAACAAACATTCCAAATGGGAAAGAGGAATTAAAAACGTCTGTCTTAGACACAAAAAACAAGCAAATACAATAAAACTGGGAAAGGAAATGAGAGTTAAAGAAAAATTACAATAAAGCGTGATCTTTTTTATGGAGGGGTTAATATATGAAAAGAGGTTGGAAACAGCTCTGATGGTTAGGTTCACTCACTCGTTCTTTAAGAAAATATAAAGTTTTTATGATATGGCAGCTATATTAGGAATTAGAGCATGAGGAATACAATGTTTCCTTCTCTAAGGAGCTCATCTTCCAATGAAGGATAAAGGCACAATTAATGGTATATTTTGTATTCACAGGTGACCGCTCTGGTATATGTATGATACTATGGAAACAGAAAAGAAAGAGCACAGACAAGATGCATGATGATGAGGGGAGAGTTTAGAAGAAAGGGCTAGCAGTAGACATACTGCTCAAGTTGATGAGAAGATAGAGGAGGGATTTCCCAACCTGAGAGAGCACATTTTGAAAAAGAATAGGGACCTAAGAGAGAATGAGATATTAAGGCATCCATAAGTAGCTTACTGTGGCTGAAGCACCAAATTAAATATAGGTGAGTGATTGGAGAGAAATGTTGAAGAGATAAGAAGGAGGGCCCAGCATATTTGTCTGGAGACCTGGAAATCTGAGTCATCTTGAGGAATGAGCTCAAAGCAGAGGGAAGAGTGCCATCTATTGAATCTCTGCTACTGAATGCTGTAGGCTGTCTAAATCTTTCACTTTGCAAGTAGTCTGATCTTCCCAATGTCCTAAAAGCCTAGCAGCCTAGAATTTTGTTAACTAAAGGTAGATGCTTTACTTATGGCCATTCTTTATGACCCATATTTATGTGGCTGTTTTGCAAACTCTCACTTTATGAATAAGTATACCACAGTTGAGAAACTCCCCACGGTTTCACATCAATAGACAGTTATATATCTTTTTCCTTTTTTTTTTTTTTTGACAGTGGCACAAAAATTTCTGTCTTCACAGAAAAAGTTGGTATTTTTTAAAGTGCCTGCTTATTTTGTAAGCCGATTCAGGGTTGAACTTTTAAACCTGCTGGAGACATCATACATCTCTTGTAGATTTCACTTATGCTTGATATCATTACAAAGTCATTTTGAGTTTGTTCCCATGATTCACTTTGAAAGGTAGGATACTTTTTATAGTACTTTAAATTATTTTTCTAAGATATTTAGAGAGAGAAAGAGACAGAATTTTGTCACTATAATCAGAAACATCAGACATTGTTCTCACCTCTCATTTTTTCACAAGTGTCAATCTTCTGCCATGAAAATAACACATATTGTGCATGAATTCAAAAAACAAACTTAATAATGGCATTATTATTAATGCTATTGTTATCATAGAGGTAGTCATACTAGTTATTATAGAGTAGTGAAGCTGGTAGATTTGGGATGGGATTAGACATTCTGATGGATGAATACATACAAGAAAAATGTAATGACGTGAAAAGCCAAAACACAGCTCTAATCAATTTGCCACTGTTGTGAACAGATTTCTGCTGGACAGTTTAAAGCAGCCTCCTAAACAAAAAGATACATCTGAAAAGTTAAGCATAATGTATTCTCAAAGCCTCTTTTAATGAAAAGTGTACTTGTTTTGCATTGCTCTGAAAACATTAAAGGTAACAGTCAGTAGATTACGTTTCCAGGAGTGTGGCATTCTTATGGACCTATTTTTTCTTTCTTCTCTTTCTTTTCTGTCTTTATCTTTCTGTCTTTCCTTTCTTTTCCCTCCCTCCCTTCCTTCCTTCCTCTGATAGGGCCTTGCTCTATGCCTCAGGATGGAGTGTGGTGGCACAATGCAGCTCACTGCAAACTCAGACTCCTGGGCTCAAGTGATCCTCCTGCCTCAGTCTTCCAAATAGCTGAAATTGCAGGTGCATGCTACCACACCCAGTTTATTTTTTAGTTTTGTTTCATTATGTGGCCCAGGCTGTTCTCAACCTCCTGTCCTCAAGCAGTCCTCCCACCTCAGCCTCCCAGAGTGCTAGGATTATAGGCGTGAGCCATTGTATCTAGTCTATACTACTACTTTATGAAAGCACTTGAACACTTGATTCTGAGGTCTTTATTCTACCAATTTTCAAAGCTTGTCTACAGAATACACTTTGATGGTGATTCTGCAAAATTAAATCATCATTGACAATTCAGAAGACGCAAGAACATCTTTTTTTCCCTAAATGTTTAATTGAAAATAGGCACTTTGAAAAAGTTACTTCAAAATGTTGATATACATACATTATCTTAAAGGGCTTCTTATTGCCTATATGGTAAATGCTAAAAGCCTTAGCAAACTACTGTAAGCAACTCCACTATCTGACAAACAGGAAGCATCAGTTTATCGTGGTTTCCAGCGACTTATCTATATGAAGCCACAAGTCTTATCAGGATGGTGTCTTCACTGTCTTTTACATTCACTCTTATTTATGCTTCTCTTTGACTATCTAAAATGGTATTCCTCCATATCTTTCTAATTATATGGGCCTGTGCTACAATTATTTATCTGTCTACCTATTTATCATGTAACTACCTATGTATTAAGTGCTGATACAAGTTGTATCTCCTCTTTGAATCCTTTTTTACAACTGTCTTTTCTAAACAACCATGGCATTTATCATTGGTATTCCTATTCTTTCTTGCTTACATCCCTTTATTCATTGACTCAAAAATAATGGTAATATAACTCCCATAGGTAACAGGTTCTTAAAACATATAAATAAAATTTGTGTGAACTGTAATTTGTTCCCAGCATCTGGAGGGCATTAATTGGTTTTTGTAGAAGACATTCAATATAATTTTTAGCACAAAACTTTGAACATATTAATCAGCAAATATTTATGTAAAATTTAAAAAATTTTTTTCTTTCCATTTTGAAATCTGAATGTGTGAAACTTTGCAGAATGATGTGTGGTAATTCTAACAGTTCTTATGTCATATAGACTAATTTTAATCTTACTCATAACCAAGGTATTCATTATGGCAAGCTATATTTTGGCAGCATAAAAAAACACCAAATATAATACTTCAAACTCAAATGATTTTTATTCTTCACTCATGTAACATTCCAAAATAGATATTATTAGCATAAACAGAGGATAAAGGGTAGTATAGATGTTTCTGCTCCATGTACCTTGGGAAATTAAGTATTTTCATCACATGCCTAAGTAAGTGGCACACTCCATCTTAGACAGCTAGAAGAGGAAATGACAGTGAGGAACTCAGTGGGAGGTTTGTATGAGTTAGGCCTAAAAGCAACACCTATTATTCCCATTCACAATTCCTTGACTAGAATTCAATCAAATGGCTATACATAACTCTGAAGGAGCATAATAAATATAATCCTTTTGTGTGTTCATAAAGAAAAGAAACTCATTTTTGTAGAAATAGTTAAACATGTTTTAGTGGTTTATGGAAATTTTCTATTATAATCTATTAATATCACAATGATTTATATTTATTCTCTATTAATATTATAATATACTATTATATTATCTTTACATATACTTTTAGGCCTTTTATAAACAAGGGAAAAAAACAAGATCAGAGAGATCCTTAAATGAAATTCTAGAATATTTTGTAAATAAAATTCAATAACATGCTATATAGGAACCCAGTAAGGACACTGTATTTGCTAGGGTTCTCCAAAGAACTAGAACCAGTAGAATACATGCGTGCGTGTGTGTGTGTGTGTATGCAGGAGAAATCTTACCCTATTTCAGAAAAAAAGCCTTTTTGTTTTATTCGGGTCCTCGATTGGATAAAGCCCACTCATGTTAGGAAGGGCAATCTACTTTACTCTGTCTACCAATTTAAATGTTTATCTCATCCAAAACACCCTCACAGAAACACCCAGAATAATGTTTGACCAAATATCTGTGCACCCCATGGCCCAGTCAAGTTGACACATGAAATTAGCCATCATAGATACCAGTGAATTACATTGCTTCATACATATTTTGGTGTCATTGACTTTCTAAAGTTAGTGTGGACCCAGTCCTCTTTCATGTCTTGAATGTAGATTGAGAGCGAATTCATTATCATTTTCATCATTATCACTATCATCATTCTAGGTGGATACAAAAATTAAAATATTTGAATATTGAAAGTATTTTAAAAATCAAAGTAATTATCCTTCTTTTCACCATTCTTTCAAGTTTCTAACCAATCAAAGTAGGAAAACAAGAAAAAATAGTTACAAGTAATTAATAGAGATGTAGGTGTCATCAGACTAAAACAAATTTCAAAAAATGAATTATTTGGGCCAGGCATGGTGGCTCACGCCTATAATCTCAGCACTTTGGGAGGCCGAGGTGGACAGATCACGAGGTCAGGAGATCGAGACCATCCTGGCTAACACAGTGAAACCCCGTCTCTACTAAAAACACAAAAAAAATTAGCCGGGTGTGGTGGCAGGTGCCTGTAGTCCCAGCTACTCGGGAGGCTGAGGCAGGAGAACGACATGAACCCAGGAGGCAGAGCTTGCAGTGAGCTGAGATTGCACCACTGCACTCCAGCCTGGGTGGCAGAGTGAGACTCCGTCTCAAAAACAAAAACAAAACAAAAAAAAGAATTATTTGTATAAAATATTCTGAAAATAATTTAGCCAGTGTTTGTGAACTGAAATAACTTAATTGTAAATTTGGTTAGAAAGTTTTAAATCTTCTCTTAAAAAAAAATGTAAGCAAGGATTTTCATGTACCACCTGCATTTTAAAGAACATAATTTTTCTATATGAAAAAAGTGCTTGTGAGTATAAATGGGAACATGGTGGATTTTCATAATGGCATTGTAAAGGCAATTATTTGCCTACAGAGTTTAGAAGAAAGCAGACATTTTCTGAGTCACATATTCATTTTTACCAAGTAATATAATCAATGCACATAGTCAAAAGAAAGAGAACTTCTTTTTTCTCTTTTCTTTTTTGTAGGCATGATTCCTCTTTGGCTTCCCATTTAAATTTGATGAAGTTTTCATCATTGCAGTAACTAGCATTATGTCTTTTTTTTTTTTTTTTTTTTTTTAAGACGGAGTCTTGCTCTGTTTGTTGCCCAGGCTGGAGTGCAGTGGCGCGATCTCAGCTCGCTGCAAGCTCGGCCTCCCGGGTTCACGCAATTCTCTCGCCTCAGCCTCCCGAGTAGCTGGGACTACAGGCGCCCGCCACCACGACCGGCTAATTTTTTTGTATTTTTAGTAGAGACGGGGTTTCACCGTGTTAGCCAAATGGTCTCGATCTCCTGACCTCGTGATCCGCCCGCCTCGGCCTCCCAAAGTGCTGGGATTACAAGCGTGAGCCACCGCGCCCGGCCTATGTCTTGATGAATTCATAAAGAAAGACATTTTTTACTTCACAGGTCCAAAATTAGTGATCAATGAATTGGCCTTCTGAGACAAAATAAATAGGGATTGATATCAAATCTTGTATCTAGCTTCAAAACAAACAAACAAAATGAGGCCGGGCAAGGTGGATCACGCCTATAATCCCAGCACTTTGGGAGGCCGAGGCAGGTGGATCACGAGATCAGGAGATCAAGATCATCCTGGCTAACACGGTGAAACCCCATCTCTACTAAAAATAAAAAAAATTAGCTGGGTGTGCTGGCGGGTGCCTGCAGTCCCAGCTACTGGGGAGGCTGAGGCAGGAGAATGGCGTGAACCCCGAGGCGGAGCTTGCAGTGAGCTGAGATCGCGCCACTGCACTCCAGCCTGGGGGACAGAGCAAGACTCCCTCTCAAAAAAAAAAAAAAAAAAAAAAAAAAAAATTGAGTCACAGCTGCAAGCTAAGGGATTGAAACTTCAACCAATCATATAGGGAATTTAAGCTCTAGTTGCAGCCTGATTTTTTTAACCAATCAGGCCCACCAACCCACACAAGGATAGAAAATAAGCTAATTATATATCACAGAAAAAGTAAAAAAGGAGGGGTCGTAAGGGGATATAAGCACAAGACACCCAAACCAGAAACGGCAACCCTTCTGGGTGCCCTTCCACAGCGTGGAAGCTTTACTTTCACTTTCGTTTTACTTTCACTTTCGCTTTAATAAATCTTGCAGCCACACCAAAAAAAAAAAAAAGATGTGTTTAACAGCAGTTGACATTAAGAAAAAAAAGTCATTGAATAATATATTTGATGGTAAGTTTCTATGAGTCAAAACTATGGTAAAGCTCTTTTAAAAATGCAAGTATTATTCTAGACAGGAGGTTAAATCTTTGCAAGGTGGGTTTGAATAAAGATTTACTGTGAATAAATGTAATTAACTATCTAATGAAATGATGAATGATCTTCTATTGAAGAGTTCAAGAGTAGAGTTTATGATGATCTGATAGGGATAATATATGTAGAAATATTGTTTCAGGTATGGCTAAAACTTTTAAAGTAATTTCATTCTAATACTTTAAGATTTGATTATACTACTGTTTGGTCCTTCACATTTCTATTTTACCAGTGAGACACATTTTAACCAGCCTCTTTCCAAGAATTTTTGTATAGCAAACAACTTAGAAAATAGAGTTAGTATTTACTTTCAGAAAAATAGACCAGACATGCTTACTGTCAGGATAATAAAGATAACATTTTCTTTTTTCAGAACAAAAAACAGACATGCTCACTGTCTGTTATAAAAGATTCAGGTCCCCTAAATTCAGAATTTTCTTTTGGTAATGCAGCCCTCGGGAATGTCTTCTCATATCCATAAACCTATGGCAAGCTAACTTGTTAGTTTGCAAATTAGCTTCAGAGTTTTTCATGCTTACCTTGGCCAAATTATGTAACAGTGTAAAAACTCAGTGGTTTTAAATTAATGCTTTTTGAGATAATGTGACTTAGTTATTGAGACATACAAATTAACTTAAAGCCAGTTGTTGCTGTTTGGTGAAGATTTCCTTGACCCCTTGGAGTTAGTCCTTAATAAATAAATCTTTATAGAATTTTGTGCTTGTGCAAGGTAAGATATGATATTTTATATGCCTCTTAATATAGATTAAAAGTCTTAACAATGCCCTTAAACAGCTTGTAGAGATAAATATAAAGTTATGCGATAGAGTGAAGCAAACTGCGATGACGTAGGAGGATGAAAGCAGTAGGATTTGTTTTAATAGAGGATAACTAAGCCAATGCCTTCAAGGGATGACCAATCTATTCCCGAACAACCATGGCAAATACAATACCAGTCAAACCAACCTCATGGTCCCATAGACCAGGCCAAGTATGTGAGACTGAAGCTTATTTTGTGGGTATATTGGTCCTGCTGTGATTTGTCTTTGATGGAAACTGGGGACTGGAGATAGATTGTGTTTCAGAAGACAACTATGGAATTAGATTAACCTTTGATTCCTCGGTGGCCACACTGTCACCCTTGTTATGGAGCTGCCCATGATGCCCTTCCTCAGCATAAAGCATCCAGAAAGATCAATGACCAGATTTCCCATGACTGAGAAATTGATAAATAGACTGAATGGATTCACAATAGTCCCAAAAATGTGTTTTTTTTGTTGTTGTTTTTTGTTTTTTTTTTTTTTTTGGAGATGGAGTCTCGCTCTGTCACCCAGGCTGGAGTGCAGTGGTGCGATCTTGGCTCACTGCCAGCTCCACCTCCTGGGTTCATGACATTCTCCTGCCTCAGCCTCCCGAGTAGCTGGGACTACAGGCACCTGCCACCATGCCCGGCTAATTTTTTGTATTTTTAGTAGAGATGGGATTTCACCATGTTAGCCAAGATGGTCTCGATTTCCTGACTTTGTGATCCACCTGCCTCGGCCTCCCAAAGTGCTGGGGTTACAGGCGTGAGCCACCACACCCAGCCTGTTTTTAACGTATAATCAAATTGACCCTTTTGGTCTTAAAACTTGAAACTTTTTGAAATTTGTTTTATCTGAATTCCTTACTCAGGAAATGACCTTTAGGTCTCTCAAAAATAAAGTATCAAAGAACTGAAACTCACCAGACCACCACATCTAGACAATCCCATCCAGATGTCAAACCCTAAATTCATCATGATTGTTTCCTTGCCCCTCTCTAGTTCCTGTTTTCTTTTCTTTTCCTTTTCTTTCCTTTTCCCCTTTCCTTTCCTTCTTTCCTTTCCTTTCCTTCTTGTTTGGAGAGGAAGTCTCACTCTGTAGCCGAGGCTACAGTGCAGTGGTGTCATCTCAGCTCACTGCAACCTCCGCCTACCGGATTCAAGCGATTCTCCTGCCTTAGCTTCCCGAGTAACTGGAATTACAGGTGCGTGCCACTGCACCTGGCTAATTTTTTGTGTTTTTTTAGTAGAGATGAGGGTTCACCATGTTGGCCAGGCTGGTCTTGAACTCCTGACCTCAGGTGATCCACCTGTTTCGGCCTCCCAAAGTGCTAGGATTACAGGTACCCAGCCACACTGTTGCATTTCTTTCCTTTTATTTAAACCTCTAGTTTTAGTAATTCAGGGAGATGGATTTGAGTCTGAGCTCCCATCTCCTCAGCTGTAGCACCCAATTATAGGCTTCTTCCTTGGCAATAATTATTGCCTCAGTTATTGACTTTCTGTGTGGCAAGCAGTAGGACCTAGACTGAACCTCTGGTACTTTCATAACACCAATTCTTGAGTTATTATATTGAGTATGAATTTTGCAGAGGAAAAAGAAATAAGATGCATAAGATACAGGCTGCTGTCTTCTCCAGGAAAAAAAAAAATGAGAAACAGGACAGGAGTTTTACTACTCTACCATTAGGAACAAGGAAAAAGAAACAAATTGAAGGCATAAAACTGGTCTCTCCAAGGTCTTACCGTAGTGAATATATAGAGAAACCTCAAGAATTCCAAGAGAGAACCAGTAAGGAAAGTATTTTTCTCTACCAACCCTGTTCTTCACACAATGGTAATAGAACTTAGAATAATCCATGCCCATAATATTCTAGATTGTTGTGATCCCATTTTTTATAGAAATTGGCAAGGCATACAACATGTATTTTGATTAATTTTTCAGACATATTATTGCAAAACCTATACAACAGGTAGAATCAAATGAATGAGTAACAGGTTATTTAATTCAAGTTGTTGTTCCAGTGTCTATCTTAGTGCTTGGCACAAAACAGGCACCAAATATCTTTCTACTGAATAACTGAATTAATTTTTATTTGTGTTGAGTAAAATAATTTCATATGATGATGAATGGAAATTGCTCCAGTTATATTAACCCTGCCTGGAGCTAGGTGTACCTTATTCATAATAGAGATATGCATTTTATTATTGTAATAGAAAACACTGGCTTTTATGCATAGCAACATGAAACTTATTAGGTGATATTGTCAGCTGAATTTACATTTAACCTGATTTCTTAAAGAAAAAAACAGCCTGTCATATCCAGAGTGAGATATTAACAGATATATATCAGAACTTCAGTGAGACAGTTTCTTTGAATATTTATAGTATTTATCAATTGTTGACATTTTATAGTGATTTTTTTCTTGCAAAATCCATTAGCTTGCCATGTTATCAGGCAAAAGAAATAGTCTATTGACATTAAAAATAATTTGCCATATTAAGGTAGACATCATTGTAGTAAGGAATACAAAATGAAGAAAGTAACAGAGAATATTGTCTACAGACAGCTTCTTTTAAGAATTAATACTCGGGGTGCATAAATATTTGAGTATTTCTCTAGTCTTATGAGATTACGCATATACACATATAATTTTTTTTTTTCATCTTAGGTCGTATTCTCCAAGATAAGACACCAATCACCATCTATGTAATTTACATCGTAAAATTTTGTGAAAGATGGTCTGCATGAATTCTTATTGTTTCTCAGCAGAAAGTTGAAGTAATCAGAATTTTCTTTTTTTCTTAGTCTTTCTTGTATTAAGGGACTATATTTTGTTAACTTTAAATATAAATGCTCTCATTTTGTTTGAAAATGAAAATTAAAGAAATCACTAGTGCCACCTATTGGTGGAAATCCATATTGTGAGCTGTGTTAATTCATCCTCAGATGTGCCCTGTGGGACGCTAGAAGATGTAAAGTGGAGACACAAATCGAAGTGAAGTGAAGTATATAGCTGAGTATCATGCATCACAAGGAGTAAGGGGTGTACATGATAAGCATCCTCATTTTATCCTAAGTTGTGATATTGCAGTGTAGATAATCCTTGTTTTACAGAAGAAGAAACTGAGGCTTAAAGGGATTAAATGCTACTTTATTCAATATATTATGTAATCGTTAGAAAAGTTGTGATTTTAAATACAACTCTATTCTTTTTACTGAATCAGAACACTTACGCAAAAATTTCAATGTACATTAACTACACATCTGATGAGGGATATGAATTCATAGCCTTCAATTAAACTGTATATTTGATTCTGCTATTCCTAAGTTACTGGATTGTTTTAATCATATTTTTAAGAAGGCTGCTCAATGAATTATTGAGCATTTTAGTGAATTTACACAAATATCAACTTAATTTTAGACTTTGCACTGACTTATTTATCTACAAGTTTCTGAAGCCATTTGGTGTTTTTTACTTTTGCAGGTAAAGGATTCTGGCTTAGAGTAGTGTCAATCATATGTATTTTAAAATTTGTTTATTTTGACTTATTCATGCTTATATTAATATTTGAGTGATAGTTCAATATCCTTACAAAAAAATGGCAGCAACAGTAAACCTAACACACACGCTATATCAATAAATGCATAGTAGCTCTTACTCTTTTACTTCTACCATCAATGATTACAAATAGAAAAAATAATGTGTTCAGTTAGGCAGGACTAAGGGCTAGCCTGGAACTTACTGCTCTACCATCTTGTGGTCATCACTTCAACTCTTCCGATCCCAATTATGCCTTTGTAACAGAAATCATAGTGATCACTTTTTTTCTCAAGACATCCTCACATCTGCAGTTGGTTTAATATTATAAAGTATACAAAAGATATGAAATATGTGTTTATTTATTATGTCTCTTCCATTTCCATTAAATGTTATAAAAGAGATAGTTGTATATTTTAAGGCTTAACTCTCCTTCCTATAGATAATAAAATTCCCAGTAAGCAGTCTGACCCCTCTTCAAAAATTTCCAATGCCCTGCCAGAAAATGTAATAAATATCAAAATTTTGTTTCCAAGTTTGCAGGAAAATAAATGTCTATTAAATATAATAAACAGGTAAAAAACTCTCCAACTTTAGAGAGGTCCCTATGATAGTCTTACTTCTATTGTATTTATAAAACAAAGATAATAAGATATTAGATGAAAAGCACAAACTCCAAAGATTGAGGGTTTAAATTAAAATTCTGTCTTTATTTCTTTGGAGCTTTATGATTCTGGAAATGTTGTTTTAGATCCTTGAACTTCAATTTCCTCAGGTGCATAAAAACTTATAGGATTACTTTAAGGAATTAAATGAAATAATGTGCAAAATGGTAGTCAAAATGAGTACGAGCTATTAATCTTACAATATTTAAGCTCTGAGTTAAAAACAATGGGTTAATTGGGTTGTCAAAGGTAGCAGTCTTAAAAAAACTTAAAACGAGCACCTCCTGCTATGTTATTTCTGTTCATCGCTTTTCAGATCTCACGGAGTTAGAATTGTCTTAGAATCTTTTTTTTAAATTTTTATTTATTTATTTATTTATTTATTTATTTATTTATTTGAGACAGAGTCTTACTCTGTTGCCGGCTGGAGTGCAGTGGTGAAATCTTGGCTCATTGCAACCTCCACCTCCCAGATTCAAGTGATTCTCCTGCCTCAGCCTCGCAAGTAGCTGGGACTACAGGGGCACGCCACCACACCCAGTTAATTTTTGTATTTTTAGTTGAGATGGGGTTTCACCATGTTGGCCAGGATGGTCTCAATCTCTTGACCTCATGATCCACTCGCCTTGGCCTCCCAATCATGAAGCAGGCGTGAACCACTGCGCCTGGCCAGAATATTTTTTTTAATTCTTTATCTAAGTAGAAGTGAAATTTCATAAAAGCGATACTTAAATGTGTATTACTTCTTTCCTTTGTTTGCAATATTTTTGTGCCACCAATTTCAATCCTCATTGCCTACCTGGGCTGGTTTGTAATAGCACCCAAACTGGCCTACCAAATGACATTATCTGCCTTCCAAGAAATTTCATATATTGCTGCTATCCAATTCTTGTTAAAGTATAAATCTTATCCTAACTTCTCTTGTTCACATACCAACAATTCCAATGCTTAAATAATGACAATTATATCATATGTCAAATTCATATACTGGCATTCAAGGCTCTCTACAACTTTTCCCATCCTGTTCCATAAAACCTCATATTCTATCTTCCTGCCCTATACACCTAGACTTTTCCTTTAGTGCCACATGTACTCCTTGGTTTTCCCTTAGAGTGGCTTTGCTTACACTAGTGGCTCTATTTTTGATACATATCTCAATTATCACCATTGATGGAAATCCTTTTTTCAAGATTCAAAACAAATACCAAATGTCTTAACTCCTGATTTCCCAACTGAGTTTATTTGCCATAAAGCATGGATATGACATGACATACTAAATGCATTTTTTATGCCTCAGTTTTAATTGTCCTCAATTTTAACCAGGTTGGCTCTTAGTAGCCATGTAACCTTGGACAAATCACTGAATTTTGAGCCTCACTTTCTACTTCTGTTCAAGGTGGATATTAATTAGTATTTAGCCAACTTACAGAATTTATTCTACTTGGAAGCCAAGTGGGATAATTATGTGATACTACATTGAGGCTACCTTAATGTTATCTTGGCAAGGTCCTAAGGAGATTGGAACTGAAAACAGGATAAAGCAGTAATCTCCTTGGACCGCCTCAACCAAGGTTGCATAGCTGCAAATTCTGGATCTTTCTAGAGTCTGGATACAGCTTGAATCTGAATCCAGATTGTCCCTTTTCAGAATAGTAAATCATACACAGAAGCCAAATTATTCACTGGTCCATCCTGTTTAGGGTTTTTTGGGTTTGTTTTGTTTTTGTTTTTTTGAGACAGGATCTCACTCCCACTGCCCAGGCTGGAGTTCAGTGGTGCAATTTCGGCTCTTTTCAACCTCCAGTTCCCCAGGCTCAAGCGACTCTCATGCCTTAGCCTCCCAAGTAGCTGGAGCTACAGGCATGTGCCACCACGCCCAGCTAATTTTTTGTATTTTTAGTAGAGATGGGGTTTCACCATATTGGCCAGGCTGGTCTTGAACTCCTGACCTCAAATGATCTGCCCGCCTCGGTCTCCCAACGTGCTGGGATTACAGGTGTGAGCTATCACACCCAGCCTTATTTAGGGTTTTGAAGATGGTAGATATTGAAACAGATACTGAACAGGCAAAAGCCCTGTACTTTTGAGAGTCTCATAAATCACAGAAACATGTCAGCCCAAATAGGGGAATATAATAGGTTATTTAAAATGAAATAACAATTCTCAACATGGCAGAACACCCACTTTGTTACCTCTATTTGGGTTATGATTTGTGGTTATATAGTTATACAACTTTGAGCACTATCTTTACTCTCACAGTGCCTGAGGAATATTTTGCAAAATTAAACCATTCATAAGTTGTTTGTATATATACGTATGTCTAAACATGATATGCATGAAGTATGATACCAATTCCTTACATTGGTTTTTAGATGGTCATTGAATGATAGAATTATTTTGTATAAAAATATTTAATTACATTTTAAAAAACACTGTAGTCTTCTTTAAAAGATTATTGGGGTCAAAAGTATGATAATGATAACTTGGTTGATATAAATAAAGGTATAAAAGACAGAATTTTGGCCCAAATCCAGAAGCACTCTGGCTGTGAGTGACCAGAGTTTGAATATTTACTGGGAGACAGAACCTCAACTGTGCCAAATAATGACATCTTTGGGGAAATTCAAAGATTATGTATGAGATCTTCTGAATCTCTCTAAAGATGGAACATATTGATGAAGCACATTTTATATTTGACATAAGAATGCTGACTATTTTAAGCAATTACATTTAGATAAAATATACGATGTGCTAGAAAAGTATAGAAAAACAAAAATTCCGAAATAAAGAGAAAATTATGGTTAGTAATAAAATACCATTTTGAATTTTTTCTATCCACAGAACTACTTTTTGCTATCAGAAAGGTTGACATATGCTTAACATAAAAACTCAAATAGATATAAAATGACTATCATTTTTAAACTGATATACAAATATTTAGAAAAAATGGTTTTCTAAATCAAAAAATACATATGAAATATGCAACAATGAAACATTGCAATTCAACAAAAGAGAACTAGAGCAAAGAAATAAAATAATTTGTATAACTGTGAAGATTTTTTTTTAAATCTTGAAATTAATTTCTAAAGACCATTCTTTGAGCATTACATGTCATGGTCGAATCTCGATCAAAAAAGGATTTGAATATTTTATTATCTAAAGGGTTAGGCCACACAGGCTATTTTGTGCCCTTTTCTTTCCATGTTTTATTGTAGGAAAATATAACAATTTTTTCTGTGTTAACCATGTTTCAGTGTACAGGACTATAGTACTACATTTATATTGTGCAACCATCAGTACAATCCTTTACCAGAACTCTTTTCATCCTACAAAACTTAAACCCTACAAATGGCATTATTCCTCCCTCCCAGTCCCTGGAAATCACCATTCTACTTTCTGTCTCTATCATTTTGACTACTTTTAAGTATCTCATATAAGTGGTATCATACTTACATAAGTGGTATTTATCTTTGTGTGGCTGGCTTACTTCACTTAGCATAATGTCCTCGAGGTTTACTCATATTTTAGCATATGCCAGATTTTTCTTCCTTTTAAAAGATGAATAATATTCCATTGTAAGTAGATACCATATTTTGCTTAGCTATTTGCATATTAATAGATACTTGGATTGCTTCAATGTTTTAGCTAATGTGAGTAAAACTGCTATAAACATAGGTGTACAAATATCTCTTCAAGACTCTTCTTTCAACCCTTTTTGGTAAATACCTAGAAGTGGAACTGGTGGATCATATGGTAATTTTGACATTTTTTGAGGAATTGCCATACTGTTTTCCACAGTGACTGTAACATTTTACAGTCCCACCTACATTATACACAAGATCCATTTTCTCTACATCCTTGCCTACTGTGTTTTGTTTTTGTTTTTGTTTTTAATAATAGCCATCCAATGGGTGTGAGGTAAGTATCACTGTAGTTTTGATTTGCATTTTCTTAATGATTACTGATGTTGAACATCCTTTTATGTGCTTATTGACCACATTTTATACCCATTTTATAAATGGATAAGCATGGTGGGAATTGAAGATATTAAATGGCTTGTTAAGCACCACTCCAAGCAAGAAATTAAAGGTAATATTATGCCCCTTTTTAAAAATAAAAATAGTTGTACTTATAAATTTACCAAATGAAGAAAAGCATAATATTTTAGTAATATGCAAATTTGATAGTATTTAGTCATTTGTTTTTTATTGTAAATATAAATTCCAATTGCTAGTTTTAAGAGTGTATGTTTTAGCCAATATCAACAAATACCTTTGCATTACAAGATGATCACTGAAAATCTAGAGTATATACAAAAACAGTGAGTAAAATGAAAGGTACAGAGATGGATGACTGACATGAAGAAACAAAAAAAACATTGACAAATGCACAAGTATTTCTGGTAAACCTGACATCACCTGATATAGGTATTTTTAACTGAAATTTTCATAAATTGATACAGTAGATAGATCAATTCACCTGTAGCTTCAGTGGTAAACAATGAGAGCTGCTAAAGCAGGTTATTTCCCTGACCCCTTCATGGGACTCACAACAAGGGTGCCTCGTTTACTCAACCTGCCACTCTCAACTCCTCACAGGAGGAAGTGCATGAGCAAACAAGGAAGTGCATGAGCAGGAACTGGAGTGCATGACCATTGGAACCACCTGGCTGTTTTGGTACCTACAGGATCAAACTCCATTCACTGGGACCTGCTGCATTCCATCCCTCATGGGAGGGAGCATGCAGGTGAACAGGTGCGGAAGCCAGAGTGAGTGCTTTTGGGCTCTGGCATGAGTGAACCCTGTGGGCCCTGGAGGGGCATCCAGGTGGCATGCCTGCAACTCCTGAAGCCCCAGAGGACATATTACAGTGCTAAGTTAGCTCTGTCATCCACAAATGACTTAAGTGTTAACAGCTCAGTGGGCCCACGGCTGCCCTCCGCCAGTGAGGGCAAAGGGCCAGTGTGACAGCACTTTGCATCTACACTCATGGCTCCCAAGCTCTTGTCTGGTGTCCAGGAAAAATGAGGTCGCATGAACGAATTGAAGGATGGTAAATGCGGGGGATTTTATTGATGATGAAAGTGGCTGTCAGCAGGAAGGGGAGCTGAAAAGGGGACTGGGTCAGGGGTAGGTAATCTTCCCCTGAAGTCTAACTGTCTCTGACTAGATTCTTCAAAGTTACATTATCAAGCTGTCCCTCTGAAGTCAAACTGCTTCTCTTTGACATCTGGCCATAGTCTTCAATGTCCAGCTGCTTCTCCTCTCTGCCAGCTGAGTCTGGGGTCTTTATAGGCACAGGATGGGGTGGGGTGGGGCCATATGTGGTTCAGGAAAAAGCAACATTTGAGCAAGAAAACAGGAATATAAGTTCTCACTTTGGGTGCCACAATCTCAGACTTTTTGGCTTGAGGGTGGGGCTTTGCCAGGGACTTGCCCCTGTCTGCCTAGAATTTCTCTGCCTCTTGTCGCTATCACTGCTATATTAGGTTTTAGGATTTTTAAAGATAATACCAGTTTTGCATTCTTTCTTGGTACATACCTAAAATGCTATTATACACACAATTATTTTAAACTATTTGCATTGACTTGCTTAATCTCCATGGTTTATCCAAGCAGAACCAACATTTTCATGAACTTCATCCATAACTCTAAATAGACATGTAATGTAAGAATACAATGTAGATCTGAGCCAGAAAAACATGGATTTAAAATGACCGACTGCCTCTTTATGTCTTACTGTGGAAACATCAGTTTCCTTATTTATGAAATGGATTGTAATAATTAAGTTTTATTAAAGTTAGACTTGATATTAATAACATAAAATAACCTTTTATATAATCTGATATATATTAGATGCTCAATATTTATTAGCAAATAAATATTCACATCTCCACTGCTATTCAGGGTTTTGATTTCCTTAGATCTTCTTTGTCTTTTTGTCTTTTGGTGCTTGATATTTTTGATGCTACATTCTACAAAATAATGAGCTCCCTGAGGAACTATGAATTACTTATTTCAAATTCCCTCACAGAGTCCAATCTGGAAGATTATAGGTGGTTGGTCCTCAATGATTATTAACCTAGTTAAATTGTATCTCATTGACTGAAGATCTGTGAGGGTGAAAATGAATATCTAACACCAACTAGACAAACACTAAACATTTTGGGAATACTTATAGGTTCATGGCTGTGGTTCTTCTGCATCGCAAATTCTACTTTTCTGTGAGCTAATAATGTTACAGACTTATTAAGAAAGACTTGATTTTGAATATCCATAATCACCAACTTTAATTTTTTTCAAGTTTGCTAAAATTTCAAAACTATCCAGGATTCAAGAGAGTATATAGTAATAATATGTTAATAATAACAAATCTACTTTTTATTTCCATGAAACTTTATTTAAAGCACTTTAAAACGCTTACCTCTTCAACATATAGACAGTAAGTGAGGCCCAAGATCAAAAAAGGCAGAACTGTAATTGCAATCCGAATTGTTTTATCTCTCTCCCGCTATTGGAATGTGAATTTATCTGTACACTTGTAACTGAAACACTAGGGGTTCTATATAGGTCCCTTTACTTGCAGCACAGAAAGCCCATTGCTGAGACAATGAGGAGTGCCAGGAAAGAAGGCTTTATTTGGGTGCCACAGTCAAGGAGATGGGAGATTGGTTTCAAATACATATTTTCAACCAACTAAAATTAAAGGTTTATATAGCAGAAATGTAAGCAGGTATGAAAAAACAGGAATTGGTAAGGGGTAAGAAAAAGTAGTTGGTCAACAGGAAGTTAGTGATTGGTTAGGCAATCATGATGGGTGAAGGGTTCAGCATCCCATTGTCCAGATGCAGTGATCTGGTTAGTTTGAGATCCCTGATATTCTCTGGGAGTCCTGAGGGTCCATTTCCTGAGAAAGGAACTCAGATAATACAAGTGTAACTTTTTCAAGTTTTGAAACTGGGAAGGTCAATTTGAATGTTTATTTAAAAGGAGATGTAAACATCAGTTCTCTGGGACAATTGGGCCCATTTTACACATTTGTGGATTTTGTTTTTAAGGTAAACTACTCATATGCCGAAACATAACTTAGATGTATTATGACAAAGATAATTTGGAACAAAAATTCTAAAATCAGAAATTGGTGTTCATCCCCAATCTTTGGAGGAAATGCCTCACACTGACCATACTCAAAAAGCTCCTGAGAAATCACCTAATTCATGTTAAACCAAGCAGTCAGGCTGGCGTGGTGGCTCACACCTGTAATCCCAGCACTTTGGGAGACCAAGGCAGGCAGATCAGAAGGTCAGGAGTTTGACACCAGCCTGACCAACATCGTGAAATCCTGTCTCTACTAAAAATACAAAAAAAAAAAAAAAAATAGCCAGGCGTGGTGGTGTGCACCTGTAATCCCAGCTACTCAGGAGGCTGAGGCAGAAAAATCACTTGAACCCAGGAGGTGGAGGTTGCAGTGAGCTGAGATGGTGCCACTGCACTCCAGCCTGGGTGACAGAGCAAAACTCCATCTCAAAAAAAAGTCAAGCAGTCAAGTAATAGCCAAGCATCACAGTAACCACTAGACTGACTTGCCACACTTCCTTAACTTGCGTTGGAAAAAATACAGTTTGCATAAATTGATTTAGATAACTTATTACCCATAGCACAACATAAAGCAAAAGCTTCTTGTTGCATGGTTCCCTTTGCTCCTCAAGTGTCATTAAGAGGTGATACAGAGATTATCTAAAGGGATGCTGCACTGTTTATGCTTCACAGCTGAGGAACAATCAGCTTTGGAAGGAATTGCTGACACACCTTCTTTATGTTTGCCTGAAAGAATACATTATTTATTACTCTGGGATGTGAGCAAATCTCTAGAGAAAAGAGGGAAACTTTACCATTCTGAAATGTAAATACATTTTTCTGACCCAGATGGAAACACTATAAGAGAACTTTGTTCAGAAAAACATTCAGAAATGCCAGAATAATCTTCCCAAATCCACAACTAGAGTTTTAGGCAAGACAATTCCTAATGACTCCAGGTATATTAAAGTTTTAAGATTTTCAGTGACCCAGTGATTTATATATGTCTCTGGTCTGTTACAGTGATGAAATGTGGGATTATTTTCAGCAGCTTGTAGTGTATGTTTGAACCTTTTATAAACTTATCAATATAATTCAGTACAATAGATATTTTTCATGAAGATAAAATCTAAAATTAGGCATTATGTAGGACAAATGGGTTAATGAAAAATGTTCTGCAGTATATTGGACATCTATTTTTTATGAGGTATTGTGCCTCACATTTGATTTATTTTTGTCTCTCACAAGAATTATTTGAAGTTTGATTTATAATCCCATTTAGTGTATTAAACAAACAAATGAACAAAAATCTGGGCTCAAAACAGGTTATGCAAATTACTCAAGATTATATGGCTGGCAAAGAGCAAAAACCCAGGTATTTTCTCCCTTAGGTCCTATACTTATCCCAGGCTATCTTACCTGCCAAGCTTATATCTCATTAAGTTATTTAATTAGTTTACTAAACAGCTTTACAGAAAACTCTATACTTCTGAGTAAAAGGGAAAGAGGAATTCAGAACACCCTAAAACTCCAGTAAAATGGCAAAGAGAGTATTATCAGAAGTTGAAATGAAAAGATTAAGCTAGAACTAAACTTTTGCTAGCTTCAGATCATTTACTTCAATTCTAACAGTGTTATCACAAATGGCTTTGAGTCTAATATTACTTTTTCAACTATGTACTGCATTTTGGTAGTAGGAAATCCAGTTCTTAAAATTTAAAAAGAGATTTTGAAAATATTTCAGCAAGTATACAGTAATTAACACACAACAGACTTGCACTGCTAGACATAAGATCTTCAAAGAAAATAAAAGCTAGATAATTAAGGTTTTAAGCACTTTGTTCAGCCTGTAAGAAAATGACACACCAAGGCAACTTTATTAGTGTTACCAATAATTTAAGCAAATCACTTGAAAAATAAAATTCAAATTGCAAAAAGGAATAAAAACCCAAGCTATAATTGAAGGTGTTATACTATAATCAAATAAAGCCAACCATGAGCTACAGAGATGTAGAATATTTAAATAGCATCAATCATGTTTAGTAATATCAAATTTAATCTAGGGAAGACTGACAAGGAGTCACTGATTTTTTACAAAGAAACTTGTAACTGATAAATTGACTTAAATCCTTGTCAGTTTAAAGCAGCAGATGTCTTAGTTTCATTAGATATGTTTTTCTCTCTCTCTAAATATTTGATTTATAATTGAGTCACCAATAGATAATGTTCATTTCTAAAATTCTTAAATCATATCCAGTGTACAGATTATCCTGAATTTACTTTCAGCTACAACATATGGTAATGAAGAAAGGAGCCACAAGTCTTCACACAGTTATCAAAAAAATAGGAAGATACAGTCAGGCAAATTGTGGGAAAGATGATATGTGATAGATTCAGAATGAATAGTTTTCCTGTTGGCAGAAAGACACATATTAAGTATAGGCCTCCTGGGGGCTAATGGAGAGACTAAATTACTTTCTCCATAATATTCTTCCCTAATAGAAAAAATAAGAAGAAGAAAGAAAAGAAAGGAAAATCAATGCACTTTTAAAGTCTGGAATGACAAAGGTTGAAAATGGATAAGATAATTCAGAATTAGCTCATTTGAGTTTAAAGAGACAGTAATAATAATAGTCCTCATTCTACTGTTTCCTTTTATTGTGCCAGACACTTTGCTAAGTACTGCTTTTTATGAATTAGCTTAATTTTCACAAGGACCCCATGAAAGGCATACTATTAATACCTCCATTTTTGTAGGCTGACATTTTCTCTTTTTTTAAATTTAATTTCTTAATTGACAAATGATTGTACATATTCATAGGGTACATAGTGATGTTTTGACACATATAATGTGTAGTAATCAGATCAGGGTATTTCCCATATCCATCATCTCAGAAATTTATCATTACTTTTTGTTTAAAATAGTCACTATCCTCTTTCTAGCTTTTTGAAACTATATAACATATTAACATATTATTTTTAGCTGTAGCCATCCTACAGTAATACCTTCATTCTTTTTAAGGAGAAAAACGAGACTTGGAGAGCTCAAGTAACTTCTTCAAGACTGTATAGCTAGTAACAACAAGAAAAAAAAAACAAGACAACAACAAAATCATGATTTAAAACCACATGTGTCTGAGTCTACAACCAGTAGTATAAACATTATGCAATATTCCCTTCTTGAGGAATCAGTCTTGAGAGTGGTAATTGACAAAAAATATACTACATGTAAGTCAGCATTTTTATCTGAGACCCAAACTCAAAAGGTTGCCTTCTTAAAACCTACAATCTTGAGATATACTGCCCCATAGTACATCACACCACTAAGGAAAGTTTATTGAACCACAGGGTCTTATGGCTTACTTTTCACATAAAGACAGTAAAGGAGGAAATGTATACCTCTACCTGCTTTAGGGTTTTTTGGGGCTTGGCCATAGAATTGAATTGGTATAACACAAATCAAGAGAAAAAACATACAAATGTATTTGATACATGCTTTGTATGTCACAGAGCTTTCATTTAAAAGTGAGGACCCAAAGACACAGAGTTGAGCACTTCCTGAATTAGACAAAGAGTGGTAACTTGTGAATATGTGATAAGGCTAAGGGGTTTGGACTAGAGTAGTTAATTGAGTAAAGAAGTGGCTAAAAAGATAAGTGTTAGTCTAACAATGTTTCTACAGATTTCCCTCACGTCAACTCTTCATTCTTTTTGATCAGAATGATACTTTTTTTCTAGTATAGGAAGGGCATCTTTCACATCAAAATTCCATCTCCTACTTTCAAGAAATGGAATGAAAGTTAGAGTGATCCTGTTGCATCTGCTGTTTCTCCAGTGCCTTTAACTCAATATTACCAATATGCTAGAGCAGCATAGCTTGCAGTAGCATATTCGTAACTTTTTCAAGACACTCTATATTAGTCCCATTCCTATTTTCCTGCTTACCTCAGTCACTGCCAGAAGTCAGATTCTTCCCATTATCAAACAAGATTCAGTTACTCACTTCTATAATTTTCTACACATCTTCCACTTAGATCCAATTCCTTTCTCTTCCACTGGAACTTTGTGATCATCTTCACTATTGGTGGCAATTTTCTTAATATCTTATGAGAATGTATGCCCTTTAGCCTTTATTTTTTAAATTGAAATATGTTTGGTACCCTAGGATACTACTTTTCCCATTGTTCTTTCAAGCTAACACTTGTTTGTGTTTCATCAAACACTGTGTACCATAGAGCTTGAAGCTAGGATTTGTGTCCCTGTCAAAACATTATTCCTCCTCTTATAGTCTTTGTCACTTTGAGCCTCATGACACTGACTTTCTCTCTAGATAGATAGATAGATAGATAAATCTGTCTATACACACTTTGATATATACATACCTATAGTCACCTATAAATATTTAATTTTTTTGAAACAGGGTCTTGCTCTGTCACCCAGGCACCCAGTGCAGTAGCATGATCATGGCTCCCTGCCGCCTCAACCTCTGGGACTCAAGCAATTTTCCAACCTCAGCCTCCTGAGTAGCTGGGACTACAGAGCAACATCACCGTGCACACCTAATTTCAAATTTTTTTTTGAGATGGGATCTCACTCTGCTGCCTAGGCTGGTCTTGAACTCCTGGACTCAAGCGATCCTCCTGATTTGGCCTCCCAAAGTGCTGGGACTATAGGTTTGAGCCACCTTGCTCAGGCTAAATGTTATTGAACACAAACATACATATACACACAGAATCATTCTATTTGTTGCTTTCCTTTATTGATATTTGATCACTCCCCACATTTATAAAAGCTTTATATCCTAGTTCCTATGTTTCCTCAACTCTTATAATTTTTCAAGTCTTCATATATCAAATAAATAAATCATCCAACATTCTCATTCATTGACCTCCCTCATTTCCAGTTACCCTTTTTCCTGACTCTGTCTCAGCAACTTGTGTTAATGTTCAAACATTTGATTTGGTAGACCTTCTATGAAACCACAGTTTCAAACCATTTACCAACTGCTTTTGATTATTCCTCAAATTCTTTAGGTTCCCTAACTTCAAGACATTAAAATCAAGTTTTGGTACTAACCGGTGCTTGCTCTTCGTTAGAAATACAATGCAAACAACATATATAAATTTAGATTTTTAATAGCACATTTTTAAAGTAAATTAATTTTGTCTGTTTCTTCTTTTAACTGTATTTTAACTGAGTATATCCAAAATATTATAATTTCAACATGTTAACTATAGACAAGTTATTGAAATATTTTACTTTCTCTTTTTTTTTTTGAGACAGAGTCTCGCTCTCTCCCCCAGGCTGGACTGCAGTGGAGCAATCTCGGCTCACTGCAAGCTCGGCCTCCCGGGGTTCACGCCATTCTTCTGCCTCAGCCTCCGGAGTAGCTGGGACAACAGTCACCTGCCACCACACCTGGCTAATTTTTTGTATTTTTAGTAGAGATGGGGTTTCACCATGTTAGCCAGGATGGTCTCGATCTCCTGACCTTGTGATCCGCCTGCCTTGGCCTCCCAAAGTGCTGGGATTACAGGCGTGAGCCACCGCACCTGGCCTACTTCCTCTTTTTATGCTGTATCTTTGAGAAGCATGATGCACAAGCATATTTCCATTTGGATTAATTATAGTCGAGAGCTCAGATACAGCTCAATATGGAACCAAGAAGGTAAACACAGTATACATAGATAAGTTTTAGAAGATTTGGATAGGTTAGAAGCAAGAGTTATCATAACACTTTAGTATTTTCTTCATTACTGATACAATTAACTTGATTATTCCTTTTTACTGAAGGATTTTTTCTAATACTTATTTTCTTTGACTTTTAAGTTCAGGGGTACATGTGCAGGTTCGTTACATAGGTAAACTTGCGTCATGCAGATTTGTTGTACAGATTATTTCGTCATACAGGTATTAAGCCTAATACTCATTAGTTGTTTTTTTCTGATCCTCTTCCTCCTTCAACCCTCCACTCTCCATTAGGCCCCAGTGTGTGTTGTTCCCCTCTATGTGTTCATGTGTTCTGATTATTTACCGCTTGTAAGTGACAACATGTGATATTTGGTTTTCTGTTCCGGCATTAGTTTGCTGAGGATAATGGCCTCTAGATCCACCCATGTCCCTACGATGATGTGATCTCATTTTTATGGCTGCACAGTATTCCACAGTGTATATGTACCACATTTTATTCATCCAGTCTATTATTGATGGGCATTTAGGTTGACTCCATGTCTTTGCTATTTTGAATAGTGCTGTAATGAACATACACATGCATGTGTCTTTATAATGGGATGATATATATTCTTTTGGGTGTATACTCAGTATTGGGATTGCTGGTCGAATGGTATTTCTGTCTTTAAGTCTTTGAGGAATTGCCACACTGTCTTCCATAATGGTTAAACTATTTTATGCTCCCACCAACAATGTATAAGCATTCCTTTTCCTCCACAACCTTGCCAGCATCTGTTATTTATTTATTTATTTATTTATTTATTTATTTATTTATTTATTTTGAGACGGAGTCTTGCTCTGTTGCCCAGGCTGGAGTGCAGTGGTGTGATCTTGGCTCACTGCAAGCTCCGCCTCCCGGGTTCACGCCATTCTCCTGCCTCAGCCTCCCGAGTAGCTGGGACTACAGGTGCCTGCCACCACACCTGGCTAATTTTCTGTATTTTGTTTGGTAGAGACGGGGTTTCACCGTGTTAGCCAGGATGGTCTCGATCTCCTGACCTCGTGATCCGCCCACCTCAGCCTTCCAAAGTGCTGGGATTACAGGTGTGAGCCACCGTGCCTGGCCTATTTTTTGACCTTTTTTTTTTTTTTTTTTTTAAGATGGAATCTCACTCTGTCGCCCAGGCTGGAGTGCAGTGAAACAGTCTCGGCTCACTGCAGGCTCCACCTCCCAGGTTCATGCCATTCTTTCATCTCAGCCTCCCAAGTAGCTGGGACTACAGGTGCCAGCCACCATGCCCGGCTAATTTTTTGTATTTTTAGCAGAGACAGGGTTTCACCGTGTTAGCCAGGATGGTCTTGATCTCCTGACCTCATGATCCGCCTGCCTCAGCCTCCCAAAGTGCTGGGATTACAGGCGTGAGCCACCGTGCCCAGACTTGACTTTTTAATAAGAGACATTTTGACTGGTGTGAGATGGTATCTCACTTTAGTTTTGATTTGCATTTCTCTAATGATCATGTTTAGCTTGTTTTTATGTGCTTGTTGGCCACATGTATGACTTCTGTTGAGAAGTGTCTGTTCATGTCCTTTGCCCACTTTTTAATGGGGTTGGTTTTCTTGTAAATTTAAGTTCCTTATAGATGCTGGATATTAGACCTTTGTTGGATGCATAATTTGCAAACATGTTCTCCCATTCTGTAGGTTGTCTGTTTGCTGTGTTGATAGTTTTTGTTTGTTTGTTGCTGTGCAACTCTTTAGTTAGATCCCATGTGTCAATTTTTGCTTTTGTTGCAATTGCTTTGGGCATCTTCATCATTAAATCTTTGCCCATGCCTATGTCCTGAATGGTATTGCCTTGGTTGTCTTCCAGGGTTTTTATAGTTTGGGGTTTTACATTTAAGTCTTTAATTCATCTTGAGTTAATTTCTGTATATGAGGTAAGGAAGGGGTCCAATTTCAATCCTGCATATGGCTAGCCAGTTATCCCAGCACCATTTATTGAATAAGGAGTCTTTTTCCCATTGCTTGTTTTTGTCAGTTTTGTCAAATATAAGATAGTTGTAAGTGTGTGGCCTTATGTCTGGGTTCTCTATTCTGTTCCATTGGTCTATGTATATGTTTTTGTACCAGTACCATGCTGTTTGGTTACTGTAAGCCTTTAGTATAGTTTGAAGTTGGGTAATGTGATGTTTCCAGCCTTGTTATTTTTGCTTAGAATTGCCTTGGTTATTTGGACTTGTTTTTGGTTACATTTGAATTTTAAAATCGATTTTTTCTAGTTCTGTGAAGAATCTCAGTGGTAGTTTAATAGGAATAGCATTAATTCTATAAATTGCTTTGGGAAGTATGGCCACTTTAACAATATTGATTCTTCCTATCCATGAGCATAGAGTGTTTTTCCATTTGTTTATGTCATCACTGATTTCTTTAAACAGTGATTTGTAGTCCTCCTTGTAGAGATCTTTCACCTCCCTAGTTAGCTATATTCCTTGGTATTTTATTCTTTTTTGTGACAATTGTGAATGGGATTTTGTTCCTGATTTGGCTGTTGGTTTTACTCTTTTTATTATTATTATTATTATTATACTTTAAGTTTTAGGGTACATGCGCACAAAGTGCAGGTTAATTACATATGTATACATGTGCCATGTTGGTGTGCTACACCCATTAACTCGTCATTTAACATTAGGTATATCTCCTAATGCTATCCCTCCCCCGTCCCCCCACCCCACAATAGTCCCCGGTGTGTGATGTTCCCCTTCCTTTGTCCATGTGTTCTCATTGTTCAATTCCCACCTATGAGTGAGAACATGTGGTGTTTGGTTTTTTGTCCTTGAGATAGTTTGCTGAGAATGATGGTTTCCAGCTTCATCCATGTCCCTACAAAGGACATGAACTCATCACTTTTTATGGCTGCATAGTATTCCATGGTGTATATGTGCCACATTTTCTTAATCCAGTCTATCATTGTTGAACATTTGGGTTGGTTCCAAGTCTTTACTATTGTGAATAGTGCCGCAATAAACATGTGTGTATGTGTCTTTATAGCAGCATGATTTATAATCCTTTGGGTATATACTCAGTAATGGGATGGCTGGGTCAAATGGTGTTTCTAGTTCTAGATCCCTGAGGAATCACCACACTGACTTCCACAATGCTTTGAACTAGTTTACAGTCCCACCAACAGTGTAAAAGTGTTCCTATTTCTCCACATCCTCTCCAGCACCTGTTGTTTCCTGATTTTTTAATGATCACCATTCTAAATGGTGTGAGATGGTATCTCATTGTGGTTTTGATTTGCATTTCTCTGATGGCCAGTGATGATGAGTATTTTCTCATATGTCTTTTGGCTGCATAAATGTCTTCTTTTGAGAAGTGTCTGTTCATGTCCTTCACCCACTTGTTGATGGGGTTGTTTGTTTTTTTCTTGTAAATTTGTTTGAGTTCATTGTAGATTCTGGATATTAGCCCTTTGTCAGATGAGTAGATTGCAAAAATTTTTTCCCATTCTGTAGGTTGCCTGTTCACTCTGATGGTAGTTTCTTTTGCTGTGAAGAAGCTCTTTAGTTTAATTAGATCCCATTTGTCAATTCTGGCTTTTGTTGCCATTGCTTTTGGTGTTTTAGACATGAAGTCCTTGCCCATGCCTATGTCCTGAATGGTATTGCCTAGGTTTCTTCTAGGGTTTTTATGGTTTTAGGTCTAACATTTAAGTCTTTAATCCATCTTGAATTAATTTTTGTATAAGGTGTAAGGAAGGGATCCAGTTTCAGCTTTCTACATATGGCTAGCCAGTTTTCCCAGCACCATTTATGAAATAGGGAATCCTTTCCCAATTTCTTGTTTTTCTCAGGTTTGTCAAAGATCAGATAGTTGTAGATATGCGGCATTATTTCTGAGGGCTCTGTTCTGTTCCATTGGTCTATATCTCTGTTTTGTACCAGTACCATGCTGTTTTGGTTACTGTAGCCTTGGAGTATAGTTTGAAGTCTGGTAGAGTGATGCCTCCAGCTTTGTTCTTTTGGCTTAAGATTGACTTGGCAATGCGGGCTCTTTTTTGGTTCCATATGAACTTTAAAGTAGTTTTTTCCAATTCTGTGAAGAAAGTCATTGGTAGCTTGATGGGGATGGCATTGAATCTATAAATTACCTTGGGCAGTATGGCCATTTTCACGATATTGATTCTTCCTACCCATGAGCATGGAATGTTCTTCCATTTGTTTGTATCCTCTTTTATTTCGTTGAGCAGTGGTTTGTAGTTCTCCTTGAAGAGGTCCTTCACATCCCTTGTAAGTTGGATTCCTAGGTATTTTATTCTCTTTGAAGCAATTGTGAATGGGAGTTCACTCATGATTTGGCTCTCTGTTTGTCTGTTATTGGTGTGTAAGAATGCTTGTGATTTTTGTACATTGATTTTGTATCCTGAGACTTTGCTGAAGTTGCCTATAGCTTAAGGAGATTTTGGGCTGAGACAATGGGGTTTTCTGGATATACAATCATGTCATCTGCAAACAGGGACAATTTGACTTCCTCTTTTCCTAATTGAATACCCTTTATTTCCTTCTCCTGCCTGATTGCCATGGCCAGAACCAACACTATGTTGAACAGGAGTGGTGAGAGAGGGCATCCCTGTCTTGTGCCAGTTTTCAAAGGGAATGCTTCCAGTTTTTGCCCATTCAGTATGATATTGGCTGTGGGTATGTCATAGAGAGCTCTTATTATTTTGAGATGCATCCCATCAATACCTAATTTATTGAGAGTTTAGCACAAGGGCTGTTGAATTTTGTCAAAGGCCTTTTCTGCATCTATTGAGATAATCATATGGTTTTTTGTCATTGGTTCTGTTTATATGCTGGATTACGTTTACCGATTTGAGTATGTTGAACCAGCCTTGCATCCCAGGGATGAAGCCCATTTGGCCATGGTGGATAAGCCTTTTGATGTGCTGCTGGATTCAGTTTGCCAGTATTTTATTGAGGATTTTTGCATCGATATTCATCAGGGATATTGATCTAAAATTCTCTTTTTTGTTTCTGTCTCTGCCAGGCTTTGGTATCAGGATGATGCTGGCCTCATAAAATGAGTTAGGGAGGATTCCTTCTTTTTCTATTGATTGGAATAGTTTCAGAAGGAATGGTACCAGCTCCTCCTTGTACCTCTGGTAGAATTCGCCTGTGAATCCATCTGGTCCTGGACTTTTTTTAGTTGGTAGGCTATTAATTATTGCCTCAATTTCGGAGTCTGTTATTGGTCTATTCAGAGATTCAACTTCTTTCTGGTTTAGTCTTGGGAGGGTGTATGTGTCAAGGAATTTATCCATTTCTTCTAGATTTTCTAGTTTATTTGTGTAGAGGTGTTTGTAGTATTCTCTGATGGTAGTTTGTATTTCTGTGGGATCGGTGGTGAGGTGGTGATATCCCCTTTATCATTTTTTATTGCATCTATTTTATTCTTCTCTATTTTCTTCTTTATTAGTCTTGCTAGCAGTCTATCAATTTTGTTGATCTTTTCAAAAAACCAGATCCTGCATTCATTGATTTTTTGAAGGGTTTTTTGTGTCTCGATTTCCTTCTCTTCTGCTCTCATCTTAGTTATTTCTTGCCTTTTGCTAGCTTTTGAATGTGTTTGCTCTTGCTTCTCTAGTTCTTTTAATTGTGATGTTAGGGTGTCAATTTTAGATCTTTCCTGCTTTCTCTTGCGGGCATTTAGTGCTATACATTTTCCTCTACACACTGCTTTGAATGTGTCCCAGAGATTCTGGTATGTTGTGTCTTTGTTCTCAGTGGTTAGAAAGAACATCTCTATTTCTGCCTTCATTTCGTTATGTACCCAGTAGTCATTCAGGAGCAGGTTGTTCAGTTTCCATGTAGTTGAGCGGTTTTGAGTGAGTTTCTTAATCCTGAGTTATAATGTGATTGCACTGTGGTCTGAGAGACAGTTTGTTATAATATCTGTTCTTTTACATTTGCTGAGGAGTGATTTACTTCCAACTATGTGGTCAATTTTGGTATAAGTGTGGTGTGGTGCTGAGAAGAATGTATATTCTGTTGATTTGGGGTGGAGAGTTCTGTAGATGTCTATTAGGTCCGCTTGGTGCAGAGCTGAGTTCAATTCCTGGATATCCTTGTTAACTTTCTGTCGATCTGTCTAATGTTGACAGTGGGGTGTTAAAGTCTGCCATTATTATTGTGTGGGAGTCTAAGTCTCTTTCTAGGTCTCTAAGCAGTTGCTTTATGAATCTGGGTCCTCCTGTATTGGGTGCATATATATTTAGGATAGTTAGCTCTTCTTGTTGAATTGATCCCTTTACCATTATGTAATGGCCTTCTTTGTCTCTTTTGATCTGTGTTGGTTTAAAGTCTGTTTTATCAGAGACTAGAATTGCAAACCCTGCCTTTTTTTGTTTTCCATTTTCTTGGTAGATCTTCCTCCATCCCTTTATTTTGAGCCTATGTGTGTCTCTGCACATGAGATGGTTTTCCTGAATACAGCACACTGATGGGTCTTGACTCTTTATCCAATTTGCCAGTCTGTTTCTTTCAATTGGAACATTTACCCCATTTACATTTAAAGTTAATATTGTTATGTGTGAATTTGATCCTGCCCTTATGACATTAGCTGGTTATTTTGCTCGTTAGTTGATGCAGTTTCTTCCTAGCCTCGATGGTCTTTACAATTTGGCATGTTTTTGCAGTGGCTGGTACTGGTTGTTCCTTTCCATGTTCATCACTTCCTTCAGGAGCTCTTTTAGGGCAGGCCTGGTGATGACAAAATCTCTCAGCATTTGCTTGTCTGTAAAGGATTTTATTTCTCCTTCACTTATGAAGCTTAGTTTGGCTGGATGTGAAATTCTGGGTTGAAAATTCTTTTCTTTAAGAATGTTGAATATTGGCCCTCACTCTCTTCTGGCTTGTAGAGTTTCTGCCGAGAGATCAGCTGTTAGTCTGATGGGCTTCCTTTTGTGGGTAACCCAACCTTTCTCTCTGGCTGCCCTTAACATTTTTTCCTTCATTTCAACTTTGGTGAATCTGACAATTATGTGTCTTGGAGTTGCTCTTCTCCAGGAGTATCTTTGTGGCATTCTCTGTATTTCCTGAATTTGAATGTCGGCCTGCCTTGCTAGATTGGGTATGTTCTCCTGGATAATATCTTGCAGAGTGTTTTCCAACTTGGTTCCATTCTCCCCATCACTTTCAGGTACAACAATCAGACATAGATTTGGTCTTTTCACATAGTCCCATATTTCTTGGAGGCTTTGTTCATTTCTTTTTATTCTTTTTTCTCTAAACTTCTCGCTTCATTTCATTCATTTGATCTTCCATCACTGATACCCTTTCTTCCAGTTGATCGAATCGGCTACTGAGGCATATGCATTCGTCACGTAGTTCTCATGCCTTGGTTTTCAGCTCCATCAGGTCCTTTAAGGACTTCTCTGCATTGGTTATTCTAGTTAGCCATTCGTCTAATTTTTTTTCAAGGTTTTTAACTTCTTTGCCATGGGTTCGAACTTCTTCCTTTAGCTTGGAGTAGTTTGATCATCTGAAGCCTTCTTCTCTCAACTCGTCAAAGTCATTCTCCATCCAACTTTGTTCTGTTGCTGGTGAGGAGCTGCGTTCCTTTGGAGGAGACTGGTGGTGATTTTTGTACATTGATTTTGTATCCTGAAACTTTGCTTAAGTTTTTTATCAGCTTAAGAAGCTTTTGGGATGAGACAATGGGTTTTTCTAGATATATGATTATGTCATCTGCAAAAAGGGATAGTTTGGCTTCCCCTCTCCATATTTGGATACCCCTTATTTCTTTGTCTTGTCTGATTGCCCTGTCTAGGACTTCCACATACTATGTTGAATAGGAGTGGTGAGAGAGGGAATTCTTGTCTTGTGCCAGTTTTCAAGGGGAATACTTCTAGATTTTGCCCATTCAGTATGATGTTGGCTGTGGGTTTGTCATGGATGGCTTTTATTATTCTGAGGTATGTTCCTCCAATACCTAGTTTATTGAGAGTTTTTTATGTGAATGGATATATTGAATTTTATCCAAAGCCTTTTCTGCATCTGTTGAGATAATCGTGTGGTTTTTGTCTTTAGTTCTGTTTAAGTGATGACTCACATTTATTGATTTGCATATGTTGAACCAACCTTGTATCCCAGGGATAAACCCTACTTGATTATGGTAGATAAGCTTTTTGATATGCTGCTGCATTCAGTTTGCATGCATTTTGTTGAGGATTTTTGCATTGATGTTCATCAAGAATACTGGCTTAAAGTTTTCTTTTTGTGGTATCTCTACCAGGTTTTCGTGTCAGGATGATGCTGTCCTTGTAGAAGGAGTTAGAGAGGGGTGCCTCCTCCTCAATTTTTTGGAATTGTTTCTGTAGAAATGGTACAGGCTGTTTTTTTTGTTTTGTTTTGTTTTGTTTTGTACATCTGGTAGAATTCAGCTGTGAATCCCTCTGGTCCTGGACTTTTTTTGGTTGGTAGGCTATTTATTACTGCCTCAATTTCATAGCTCATTATTGGTCAGTTCGAGGATTCTATTTCTTCCTTGTTCAGTCTTGGGAGGGTGTATGTGTCCAGGAATTTATCCATTTCTTCTAGATTTTCTAGTTTATAGGCATAGAAGTGTTAGAGTATTTTCTGATGATTGTTTTCTGAGGGGTCAGTGGTCATATCCTCCTTGTCATTTCTGATTGCAATGACTTAAATCACTCTTTTCTTCTTTATTAGTCTAGCTAGTGGTCTATGTATTTTATTAATTTTTGCAAATAATAGCTCCTGGATTTGTTGATCTTTGGATTTTTTTTTTTATCTCCGTCTCCCCAAGCTCAGCTCTGATTTTGGTTATTTCTTGTCTTCTCCTAGCTTTGAAATTTGTTTGCTCTAGGTTCTCTAGTTTTTTAAGTTGTGATGTTAAGTTGTTAACTTAAGGTCTTTCTAACTTTTTGATGTGGGTATTTATTGCTATAAATTTCCCTCTTAACACTGCCTTAGCTCCACCCCAGAGATTCTGGTATTTTGTGTATTCTCATTAGTTTTAAAGAACTTCTTGATGTCTGCCTTAATTTTATTATTTACCCAAAAGTCACTCAGGAGTAGGTTATTCAATTTTCATGTAATAGTGTGGTTTTGAGTGAATTTCTTAGTCTTGATTTCTAATTTGATTGCACTGTGATCCAAGAGACTGTTATGATTTCAGTTATTTTGCATTGGCTGAGGAGTGTTTTACTTGTGATAATGTGATTGATTTTAGTGTATATGCCGTGCAGCAATGAGAAGAGTGTGTATTCTGTTGTTTTGGGATGCAAAGTTCAGTAGATACCTATCAGGTCCATTTGCTCCAGTGATAAGTTCAGGTCCTGATAATCTTTGTTAATTTTCTGTCTCAATGATCTGTCTAACATTGTCAGTGGGATGTTAAAGTCTACCCCTATTATTTTGTGGGAATCTAAGTCTCTTCGAAGATCTCTAAGAGCTTGCTTTATGAATCGGATTGCTTCTGTCTTGCGTGCACATATTTTTAGGATAATTAGATCTTGTTTACTTGAACCCTTTACCATTATGTAATACCCTTCTTTGTCTTTTCTGATTTTTGTTGGTTTAAATACATTTGTCAGGGATTAGGATTGGAACCCCTGCTTTTTTTCTGTTTTCCATTTGCTTGATATTTTTCTTCATTCCTTTATTTTGGGCCTATGTGTGTCATTGCATGTGAGATGGATCTCTTGAAGAGTGCATACCAATGAGTTTTGGTTCTTTATTCAGCTTGCCATTCTGTGACTTTTAATTGGGCCATTTAGCCCATTTACATTTAAGGTTAGTTTTGATATATGTAGATTTGATCTTGTCATCCTTAAGTTAGCTGGTTATTCTGCAGACTTATTTATGTCGTTGCTTTATAGTGTCACTGGTGTGTGTATTTCAGTGTGTTTTTGTAGGGGCTGGTAACAGTCTTTCCTTTCCATATTTAGTGCTTCCTCATTAGCTCTTGTAAGGCTTGTCTGGTGGTAACAAATTCCTCACTCTGCTATGAAGGAATACCTGAGACTGAGTATTTATAAAGAAAATAGGTTTAATTTATTCACAGTTATGCATAGCTGGGGAGGCCTCAGGAAACTTACAATCATAGTGGAAGCCATCTCTTCACAGGGTGGCAGTAGAGAGAATGACTGCAAGCATCAAATTGTGAAAAGATATGGAGAAACCTAAAATGAAAGAAGCCAGTCTGAAAAAGTTACATACTCTAAGACTCTCACTATATGACATTCTGGACAAGACAGAACTATAGAGACAGTTTTTACAAAACTTTAGTTTCCAGAGGTTCAGTGGCTGATGATGGGGAGGTAAGAGGGATGAATATGTGAAGAACAGGGCATTTGTAGGTTAGTGAAAGTATTCATTATAACCCTGAAATGGTGGATACATGAGTTTATGCAATTGTCAAAACCAACAGAATAGTACCATAATGTGGACTAGCAACGTTAATAATAATTTCTCAATATTGGTTGATCAATGATAAACATATGCTCCACTAATGTAATAGGTTAATAATGGGGAAAACTGTGTAGGGGTAGAGAGGGAATACTTTCTGCTCAATATTTTAAACTAAGAAAGTTTACAAAACTAATTTTTAATTAAAAAAGAAAAATTATCTGCAATAGGCAACATTAAGAGAATGAAAAATAAGCTGGGAGAAAATATTAGTAAAGCACAAATCTGATAGAGAAATTGTATTCTAGGCATACAAATAACTAGAAAACAACCCAGTTAAATATGGGCAAAAGATCTGAGCAGATACCTCACCAAAAAAATTATATTTTATATATGTATGATTTGTGTATGTTTAATATATATATGTGTGTATTATACATATAGATGGCAAGTAGGCATACAAAAGGATGCTCAAGATCATTTGTCATGAGGGAAATGCAAATTAAAATGACAATGATATATCACTGCATACCTATTAAAATGCCTAAAACTGAAAAATCTAACAATATCAAATGCTGGTGAATATAAGGAAAAATGCAAACTCTCATGCATTGCTGGTAGGAAAGCTTAAATGATATAACCCTTTTGGAAGACAATTGGGCGGTTTCTTATAAAGCTAAACATTGCCATACCATATGATCCAGCAATCATTCTTCTAGTTATTTAGCCAACTGATTTAGAAACTTTTATCCACACATAGTGTGCATGTGAATGTTTATGTCAGCTTTGTTCATTATTGGCAAAAACTGGAAACAACCAATATGTCCTTCTATAGGAAATGGCTACACAAACTGTGGTACATCTATGCATGGAGGACATTATGTTAAGTGAAATAAGCCAGGAACAGAAAGTTAAACACCGCATGTTCTCACTCATATGCAAAAGCTAAAAAAAGTTGATCTCATAGATATAGAAAGTAGAACAGAGGATACTAGAGGCAGAGAAGGGTAAGGGAAAGAGGAGGAAATAGAGATTTGTTTAAAGATGTAGACTTACAGCTAGATAGAAAGAATAAGTTGTAGTGTTCTATGGAATTATAGGATGACTAGAGCTGGCAAAAATATATTGTACAGTTTCAAACAGCTAGAAAGAGGATATTAAATGTTTCCAACAAAAAGAAATGTGTTCAAGATGATGGATATGCTAATTACCCTGATCTGATTACTATACATTATATAAATCAAATATTACTATGTATTTGGTAAATATGTACAATTATTACATGCCAATTTAATAAATAAAATGAATAACCAAGCTGTGGAAATATATGGATAAACCTTAAATATTTATTGCTAAATAAAATGAGCCATTCTCAACAGTCTGCATACTACAGGATTCCAACTATATGACATTCCAGGAAAGGCCAAATTGTGGAGACAATAAAAAGATCAGTGGTGGCTGGGCACGGTGGCTTATGCCCGTAATCCCAGCACTTTGGGAGGCCGAGGCAGGCAGATCACGAGGCCAGGAGATCAAGACCATCCTGGCTAACACAATGAAACCCCGTATCTACTAAAAATACCAAAAAAGTTAGTCAGGTGTGGTGGTGGGCACCTGTAGTCCCAGCTACTCGGGAGCCTGAGGCAGAAGAATGACGTGAACCTGGGAAGCAGAGCTTGCAGTGAGCCGAGATCGTGCCACTGCACTCCAGCCTGGGGCGACAGAGCAAGACTCAGTTTCAAAAAACAAAAAAAGATCAGTGGTTTCCAGGAATTTATAGAAGAAAGGGTGAGAGTGGACTAGATGAAGCATATGGGATGTTCTACTACAGTAAAACTATAATGTATAATTATGTAATGGTGAGTACATGACAACATATATTAATTAGTAAAAATTCATAAAACTATTCAATGCAAATAGTGAGCCTTGGCCACTTATGATGTCTGATGCCTGTAATCCTAGCACTTTGGGAGGCCAAGGCAGGAGGATCGCTTGAGCCCAGGAGTTCACAACAAGCCTGGGCAACATAGCAAAATCTTGTCTCTACAGAAAATACAAAAAATTAGCCAGACATGGCAGCGCACCCCTTTGGTCCCAACTACTCGGGAGGCTGAGAGGTGGGAAGATTGCTTGAGCTTGGGAGGTTGAGTCTGCAGAGAGCCATGATTGTGTCACTGCACTCCAGCCTGGGCAACAGAGCAAGACCCAGTCTCAAAAAAGAAAGTCAATTTAAATGTGTACAGTGAAATTATTAGGAGCTAAACAGAAAAGGAGATTACAAGAAAGAATGGAGACACTGATAATCAAAACTCTGTTACATTATATGAAACAACCTCACTAAATGATGTGTGGGAAAAAGTACTAACCTAAGTAACTTCATAAATGAGAAAGACTAAAAGCAAAGCAAGGTGCTTATAAGCACTGTACTCTAGTTGACAACATTTCCTATGGGGGTAGTGGTTAACAATTCTGATATTGTTATGCATGTATATTGAAACAGAACAACTAAGGAAATTATTGACATCTAATAAGAGTGAGGTTTCTCGGCCGGTCGCGGCGGCTCACGCCTGTAATCTCAGCATTTTGGGAGGCTGACACGGGTGGGATCACGAGGTCAGGAGATCGAGACCATCCTGGCTAACAAGGTGAAACCCCGTCTCTACTAAAAATACAAAAAAATTAGCCAGGCGTGGTGGCAGGTGCCTGTAGTCCCAGCTACTCGGGAAGCTGAGGCAGGAGAATGGCGTGAACCCAGGAGGCAGAGCTTGCAGTGAGCCAAGATCGCGCCACTGCACTCCAGCCTGGGCGACAGAGCGAGACTCTGTCTCAAAAAAAAAAAAAAAAAAGAAAGAAAAAGAAAAAAAAAAAGAGTGAGGTTTCTCAAGTTGTAGTGAGATTTTATAGATAAGCAAAAGGAAGGCTCTAGAATAGTATAGTATATGCGGTAATGAATTAGAGTTGGCGACCTCAGTGTAAACTCATGTTTGGCTTATATAGATCCAAATGATTACATAGAGAAACCAACCTACCTACCTACCTTCCTTCCTTCCTTCTCTCCTTCCCTCCTTCCTTCTTTCCCTCCTTCTCACCTTCCCGCTGCCTGCCTGCCTTCCTTTCTTCCCTTCCTTCCTTCTTTCTTTCTTTATTCATATATTGGTTCATATCCACACAAATACTTCATTACTCCATCAACTGAGAAGGCCTAAAAGAAAGAATACCAATAGCATCTAAATTTAGCACCCATATCTTGATTGCCTTATCATTCTCCCATAAAAGGAACCAGGTTTCCCCAGAGAAATAACTGATACTAAGAGTTGGGTGGGAAGTATGTAAGATAAGCCTTGAATATCTTGGTGTTTCAGAAATTTTAAAATTACTCAAAACAAACAGATAAGAGCTCCCAAAGGCCAAAGCTGAAACAATTTGAGCAAAATTATATAAGTAGCTTTGGATTATAACCCAAAGTATAAAATAAATCTCTCCATATTGATGTCAATACATTATTAGTACATTAATAAATTGGTGAGATGACTCGAATCCCCTGTGCAAGGAAATTCCAAATAGTTTTTTTTTTATGTAGATACCCTACCTTCTAGGAGAAGGGGCAAAATAACTCACTACATTAAGTGTGGGATATGTATAATCACTTCCTTACAAAGACTACACTATTGAAAGAATAATGGGGTTGGGGGGAAGGAGAATAACATTATAGTGAGTAAACCTGATAAACACATTCTCAGGACATCAGGCCAACATCAGCAATAAAAAATCATCTTGACAATATGTACCCTTGTTAAGATTGGATGAAAATTAAACTTTAGGCTTATAGTCACAAAACCATAACCCCACTATACTTATGATAAAAATGGACAAATTACAATAGAGGACATCCTACAAAATGCCTGAGCAGTCATCCTCAAAACCATCAAGGTGAACAAAAACAAGAAAAGTCTGAGAAACTATCACAATTAAGAATCGCCTAAGGAGACATAACTTCTAAATGTAATGAGGGATCCTGGAACAGAAAAAGAGCAATAGGTAAAAACCATGCAAATAGGAATGAACTATGAACTCTAGGTAATAATGGTTATTAATCATGGTTCATTTATTGTTGCAAACATACCATACTAATGTAAAATGTTAATTACAAGAGAAATTTGGTATAGAGCATATGGGAATTATTGATGCTATCTTATAAATTTTTCTATAAATTAGAAATTTTCTTAAAAAGCATTTTATTTTTTAAAGATGGGCAAATCCCACAATTATTTCTGTTTCCCAAGAACTCCAAAGCCCTTTCATCTGAAAGAGGAAGGGTAAGAACGATGACATGCCATGTGACATTTTCCTCAAGGCCACTGCTAAATGGGCTAGGAGTAGAGCCACATGGTATTAGTTCATTTCCTAGGAATTTAGAGTCAAGACTGATATAGTATTCAGAAGAGTCTGAAGTAGACAAATCCAAACATATGGAACTGAAAAGCAGAGGAAAAATCTTTCTACAGAATGAGAAGAGAATGAGACAGTCCTGGTGTTTTTTGCTTCTCTTTCTAGCCACATCCTATGAATCAGTTGCATTGTTGCCCTTGATTTCCACAAGTCACCCCTCTATGCTCCCATTTTTTTCCTCCAGGTAGTAATTATGCATTGAAGTTCATGTCTGTAAACCTAAGTGACAAAAATACCTTCCCTCAAGGGTCTCATATCCTAGTGTCAAACATTCTCCTTATTACTCCAGCCATACTGACCACGACATCCTTATTCCAAGTTTCTTTAATATAAAAATTTCCCTTCATCTCCAGATCTTGATAGACACTTCTATCCCTATTATTGGAATACTTTAATAAATCTAGCAATCTTCCAATAATGCTGTTTGTCCCACAAAAACAGACTCTGACTCAGAGATTTATTTAAATCAATACCCATGAAAAGGTAGAGAATGAATCAGGAGTGGGTAGGAAAAACTAAGTTGCAATGCCATCCAACAAAGGCCTCAGCAGACCCCAGCGGAAAATCTAGAGCTAGAATGGCCCTTTTGATGTGTCCTAGGTTTGCTTGGACAGCTGTGTCTTTATGCTTCATTCAGTGTGCTTCCCCCAGAAAAAGGCATAAACTTGAATGAAGTAGTGTTTTTCAGTAGCAGAGATCTCCAGGAAGGGTTGAGAACTGAGATCTGACTTCTGACAGCACTTGCAGCAGGTTCAATAATATTTTCTTCATTCTTAACGGGAATTTGGGCAGAGAATCAAGGCATCCACTACACCTCAATTTCATCTACATATCTCAGCATTCCTAAGCCAAAATATACACCACCCCATCCTAGGTTGGATTTATCTCACATGTGCTAAGTTCACACTATATTTTTTCCCAAAACTTAAAACAAAATGAATGTAGTTGATTCATTCTTCCCCACTAATTTGCAGGCTCATCAAGGCAAGAGCTCTGTTTGATTCACCACTTAAATCCTAGAATTAGAAAATGGCGGCCGGGCATGGTGGCTCACACCTGTAATCCCAGCACTTTGGGAGGCTGAGGCAGGCAGATCATGAGAACATCCTGGCCAACATGGTGAAATCCCATCTCTACTAAAAATACAAAAATTAGCTGGGCTTGGTGGCGTGTGCCTGTAGTCCCAGCTACTCGGGAGGCTGAGGCAGGAGAATCACTTGAACACGGGAGGCAGAGGATGCAATGAGCTGAGATCACGCCACTGCACTCCAGCCTGGCGACAGAGTGAGACTCAGTCTCAAAAAAAAAAAAAAAAAAAAGAGAAAAGAAAAGAAAATGGCCTGCCATTGTGTAGGGGATTAACATACAGAGGTTTCCTTCATGTTGAATTATTTTGTTTACACAATTGACCATTTCTCTCATATCAGAATTGGCAGAAAGTAAAAGTCAACTATCAAGACTTCTGTCTCTAAATTAAATTGTGACAGTTTGTATATCTATTAAAAAATTGATGCCCCTGGTATCATCACACATTAATAAAATCTTTATCATTATTTAAGAACCTTGTATCTAAAATTCAACATAGCTTTAAAGGAATAGTGACATTAGAAAACAAATGTTCAGCTATTCATAAAAAGCCACAAAAATTCATCCCATATATATATACCTAGATGTTACTCATACTGTCTTGTCTTTTGTAATTTATATAAATTGTCTCAAACTGTCTATCTCAATTCTGATGAAAAGTGAAAAATTACCTGGCAAGATTTTCAAAATATTAGGGAACCTAAATTCTCATATTCACGTCATTGCTTAAAGTTCTTGTTGAACCTAAAATCTCAGCCACCTAAGCATCTCTCATCTCATGATGGCTATTTTCTGTCCCTTCCCTATGGAAAGAAGTGAAACACATCTCCCCTTACGTTATCCTAGAAAATATTTGTGAGTATCTAATTTTACCAAGACTTGGGACCACAAGAATTATACTACATAACTTTAATAAGAAAACGAGAAAAGCAGTACTGAATATTTATTCAGGTCTTAAGTGGCAAGGCAGAAGTATATTGACAGCTGCCATTTATTGATCATCCTGCCTAACTCTTCTGCTTCAAGGACAGAAAAAAATAATTCATTCTTTCTCTCTCTCCTCTCTGCCCTCTCCTTGTATTTTTTAATCTAAACTGATACTACAAAATATTTGATAATTTTTTAACATAAAACATAATTTTTCATAACTTTGCATTTTTTCTCCATGATGCAATATTTTTTTCTCCATAAATTAACCAAGTTTCTGTTTCCAGTTCAAATGTAAGAATCTTGAAAGTCAGCACTGTGTCCATACATCCTAACAAAACTGAAAAGACTGAGAAATTAACAATTCTTCTACAGTTTATAAGAAAAGTGAAGACACAGAAAAAAACACTGCTGTCAAGATTAGCCAGACAGACGGGTGAATACAGGGAGTCTCAGCTTAAATAGGGCAGAGACTTACAAGTGCAGGAACCAGCACCAGGGTAGGAAAACCTGAACTGTAATTAATGAATTGCTGGAGTATCAGTGTCAATAAAAATGAGAGTTAAATACTCCAGAAGAAATAAATTTATGGTAGGGGTATGGTGGTAGGGGGGACAATTTAATGAGATTTATCTCAAGCAGCTCTACCAGGTTCTCACAGTAAATATTGGGGGAAAATGTCCACATGGTGCTGACAGGGGGAGAGGAAAAGGAACCATTTTAAAATATGCCAGAGCACTCAGTTGTTACTAACAGGTCTGCATTCAGGAGAAACTAGTTAAACACAGCCTAACTGCTGGAGTACTATTGGCACCTAACTGACCGGGAAGAAGAAAAATACCCAACCCCAGCCCACTCTAGCTCTCCTTTCCCACCTGTTAGGGAAGAAAAAAATTGAGAAACACATGGGAAGTTCACAGTCCAAAAGGTTAGGCTTACTAAAAAGCTGAGACATAATCATAAGACTACAAAATGCTTCTCCTCCCACCACATATTATCACCTAAACCTAAAGACTCCACCAAAAAAACTGTTATACGTGACAAACAAATTCAGTAAAATTTCAGGATACAAAATCAACATACAAAAATAATTTGTATTTCTATATGCCAGGAGTGACCAATCTGCATAAGAAATCAAGAAAGCAATTCTGTTTACAATAGCTACCAAAAAAAAAACCTAAGAATAAACTTAGCCAAGGAAGTGAAAGATCCCTATAATGAAAACTATAAAGTCTAATATCCAGCACCTGTAAGGAGCTTAAAGAAGTCTACAAGAAAAACAACCCCATTAAAAAGTGGGCAAAGGGCAAGAACAGACACTTTTCAAAAGAAGACATACATATGGCCAAGAATCATATGAAAAAAAGCTCAACATTACTGATTAGAGAAATGCAAATCAAAACTACAATAAGATACCATCTCACACCAGTCAGAATGGCTATTATTAAAAAGTCAAAAAATAACAGATGCTGGTGAGGTTGTGGAGAAAAAGAAACACATATATACTGTTGGTAGAAGTGTAAATCAGTCCAACCATAGTAGAAGACAGACAGAAATACCATTCAACCTAGCAATCCCATTACTGGGTATATACCCAAAGGAATATAAATCATTCTGTTATAAAGACAGAATGTGTATGTTCATTGCAGCTATATTCACAGTAGCAAAGACATGGAATCAACCTAAATACCTATTAATGATAGACCAGATAGAGAAAATATGGCACATGTACACCATGGAATATTATGCAACCACACAAAAGAATGCCATCATGTCCATGGCAGGGACATGGATGGAGCTAGAAGTCATTATCCTTAGCAAACTAATGCGGGAACAGTAAACCAAATACTGAGTGTTCTCAATTATAAGTAGGAGATAAATCATGAGAACACATGGACACATAGAGGAGAAAAACGCTCACCTATTGGAGGGTGGAGGGTAGGAGTAGGGAAAGAATCAGGAAAAATAACTAATAGGTACTAGGCATAATACCTGGGTGATGAAATAATCTGTACAACAAACCCCCATGACACAAGTTTACCTATGTAACAAACCTAAACATGTACCCTGAACTTAAAAGTTCAAAAAAAAAAAAAACTATAAAACACTGATGAAACAGGACATGCAAAAAGATGAAAAGTTATTCGAGGTTTATGGAATGGACTAATTATTATTGTTCAAATGTCCATATTACTTGGAGCATTTAACATATTCAATGCAATATCTATCAATGTAGCAATGATATTCTTCACAGAAATAGGAAACAAAATTCTAAAATTTATATAGGACCAAAAAAAGACCACAAATAGCCAAAGCAATCTTGAGCACAAAGAACAAAGCTGGAGGCATCACGTTATCTGACTTCAAAATATATTATAAAATTATAGTAAACAGGATGGTACTGGCATGAAAACAGAAACATAGGCCAGGTGCAGTGGCTCACGCCTGTAATCCCAGCACTTTGGGAGCCCGAGGCGGGTGGATCACGAGGTCAGGAGTTCAAGACCATCCTGGCTAACATAGTGAAACCCCGTCTCTACTAAAAATATAAAAAATTAGCTGGGCATAATGGTGGGTGCCTGTAGTCCCAGCTACTTGGGAGGCTGAGGCAGGAGAATGGTGTGAACCCAGGAGGCAGAGCTTGCAGTTAGCTGAGATCACACCACTGCACTCCAGCCTGGGCGACAGTGCGAGACTCCATCTCAAGAAAAAAAAAAAAAGAAAACAGAAACATAGGCCAGTAAAACAGAATAGAGAACTGAGAAATAAATCCATGCATTCATAACCAACACATTTTTCAGCAAAAGCATGAAGAACATACATTGAAAAAGGGACAGTCTCTTCAATAAATGCTGCAGGCAAAACTGGATATTCATAGGCAGAAAAAAATTAAAACCCTATCTGTCACCATCTACACCAAAATCAACTCAAAGTGGGTTAAATATTTATGTGTAAGTTCTGAAACTATAAACTACTACAATAAAATATACATTGGGCAAACACTTTAGAACATTGGTGTGGGCAAAGATTTCTTGAATAAGACCTTAAAAGCACAGCCAACCAAAGCAAAAATTGTCAAATGGAATTACATCAAGCTAAAAAGCTTCTGGAAAACAAAGAATACAGTCAACAAAGTGAAGAGACAACTTGCAGAATGAAAGAAAATATTTGCAAACTACCCATCTAACAAGGAATTAATAATCAAAATATATAAGGAACTCAAACAACTCAATCGCAAAAAAATTAGTCTGATTTTAAAATGGGCAAATTGTCTGAAAAGACATTTCACAAAAGTGGACATACAAATGGCCAACAGGTATATGAAAAAATGCCTAGCATTACTAACCATCAGGGAAATACAAGTTAAAACTGCAGTGGAGGCTGGGTGCGGTGGCTCACACCTGTAATCCCAGCACTTTGGGAGGCCGAGGCAGGCAGATCATGATGTCAGGAGATCGAGAGCATCCTGGTTAACATGGTGAAACCCATTCTCTCCTAAAAATACAAAAGATTAGCCGGGCGTGGTGACGGGCGCCTGTAGTCCCAGCTACTCAGGAGGCTGAGGCAGAAGAATTGTGTGAACCCAGGAGATGGAGCTTGCAGTGAGTCGAGATCGGGTCACTGCACTCCAGCCTGGGTGACAGAGTGAGACTCCGTCTCAAAAAAAAAAGAGAAAAAAAAAAGTGCAGTGGAACATAATCTCACTCCAGTCAAAATGACTATTATCAAAAAGACAGAAAATAATAAATGCTAGTGAAGATGCAGAGAAATAAGAACACTTGTATACTTTTTGGGGAACTGTAAATTAGTGCCACCACTATGGAAAACAGTACGGAGATTCCTCAAAAAGCTAGAACTGGATCTAGTTAGTATATGATCCAGCAATCTCACTGCTGCATTAAAAAAAGAAGAAGAAAAATATATATCATATATCAAAGCGATATCTGCATTTCCACTACTTCAGCAGTGTTCACAATAACCAAGACACGGAATCATTCAAAGTGTCCATCAAAACATGAATAGATAAAGAAAATGTGATAAATATACATAATGGAATAGTATTCAGCCATTAAAAAGAGAATGAAATCTTGTTATTTGCAGCAACATGGATAGAACTGAAAGACATTTTGTTAAGTGAAATAAGCCAGGCACAGAAAGACAAATATCACATATTCTCTCATACATCAGAGCTAAAAAAATTGATCTCATGGAGGTAAAAAATAGAAAGGTAGTTACCAGAGGCTGGGAAGAGAAGTGTGTGTTGGAGGGATTAAGGAAGGTTGATTAGTCAGGGCATTGTGGCTCATGCCTGTAATCCCAGCACTTTGGGAGGCCGGGGCGAGTGGATCACCTGAGGTCAGGAGTTCGAGACAGGCCTGACCAACATGGTGAAATCGTGTCTACTAAAAATGCAAAAGTTAGCCAGGCATGGTGGTGCACACCTGTAATCCCAGCTACTCAGGAGGCTGAGGCAGGAGAATCGCCTGAACCTGGGAGGTGGAGGTTGCAGTGAGCTGAGATTGTGCCTTTGTACTCCAGCCTGGGCAACAGGAGCAAAAACTCCATCTTGAAAAATAAATAAAATAAAAGGTTGTTTAATGGTTACAAACATGCAGTTAGATAAAAAAAATAAGTTCTAGTGCTCAGTAGCACAATAGGATCACTATAGCTAACAATACTAATTTATCATATATTTTAAAATAGCTCAAAGAGATTTGAAACATTTCCAACACACACACACAAAATAAATATTTGAGGTGATGGATATCCCAATTATCCAGGTTCTATTATTATCCATGAATGCTTGTATCAAAATATCACATATACCCCATAAATATGAATAGCTATTCTCAATCCATGAAAATTAAAAAATAAATCTACAACATAACCAAGTGGGATTTATCTCAAATATGCAAGCCTCATTCAAATTTAAGCAGTGATTAATGTAATCTACCACATCAACAAGCTAAAAAGAAAAATTATGTGATCATATCAATAAGTGTTAAAAAGGCATTTGACAAAACCCGACACCCATTCATTATCTCTCAGCAAGCTAGGAATAGATTGAGAACTTTCTCAACTTAATAAAGAACATCTACCAAAAAACCTAGAGCTAAAATCACATTTAATCTTGATAAACTGAAAACTTTTCTGCTACGATCAAGGACAAGAGTATGATTTCTCAAAACTCCCTCTCAACATTTTACTGGAATCATAGCAAATACAAGAATACAAACAAAAGGAAAAAAAGAAAAGGCATGCAGGTTGAAAGGGAATAAAACTATCTTTATTTGTAAATCTCACATGATTTTCTAAGTAAAGAATCTGAAATTATTGATTAAAAACATGTGGAACTAATAAGCAATTATAGCAGGATTGTCATATACAAGGTTAATATACAAAAATCACTTTTCTATATAATAATCAGGAAGAGGAAGAAGAAGAGGAGGGGAAGGAAGGAAGGGAGGGAGGGAGGGAAGGGAGGGAAGGGGAAGGGAAGAGAGAAAGGAGGAGGTAAATTTATAAACAGACCTCACATTCTTAACAAAAATTAACTAAAAATGGACCACAGGCCTAAATATAAAGTGAAAAACTATAATTGTCCTATCAGATAATGTGAAGAAAACATAGATAAACTTAGGTATGTTAATGACTTTTTAGATACAACACCAAAGGCAAGATTCATGACATAAATAATTGATAAGCTATCCTTTGTTAAAATTCAAAACTCTGCTCTGTGAAAGACCGTGTCAATAGAATAAGAATATAAGCCACACACTCGTAGAAAATATTTGCAAAATATACCTCTAATACCAGACTGTTATCAAAAATATGCAAACAACTCTTAAAAGTAAACAATAAGAACACAAAAAGCCTGATTTAAAATAGGCTAAAGACCTGAACAGACACCATGCCAAGGAAGATATACAGATGGCAAATAAGCATGTGAAAAGATGTTGCACATCATATGTTATCAGGAAAATGCAAATTAAGATGAGTTACCACTACACTCCCACACTCCTTCACTCCTCAGATGGCCGAACTCTGGAACATTAACACCACCAAATGCTGGTGAGAATGTGTAGCAACAGGAGCTCTCATTCATTGCTGGTAGGAATCCAAAGTGGCACTGCCACCTTAGAAGGTAGTTTGGTGACTTCTTATAAAACTAAACATACTTTTACCATAAGATCTAGCAATCACACTCATTTGTACTTACCCAAAGAAGTTGAAAACTTGTATCCACACAAAACCTGAACACAGACATTTGTAGGTGCTTTACTTATAATTGACTAAACTTGGCATCCACTAAGACATCCTTCAGGGGGTGAATGGATACATAAACTGTCATACATCCACACAATGAAATAGTATTTGGTACTAAAAGCAATGACCTATCAAGCTGAGAAAAGACATGAAGGAAACTTAAATGGATATTACTGGGTGAAAGAAGCTAATCTAAAAAAACTACGTGCTGTATGATACCAATAATATAACAGTCTACAAAAGGCAAAACTATGGAGATGGTAAAAAGATAAGTAGTTGCCAGAGGTTGAAGGGTGGCGAAAGGATGGGTAGGTTGATCACAGAAGATTTAGAGGGCAGTGACTCTGTTTGATGCTATGATGATGGGTACATTTCATGATACATTTGTGCCAACCCATAGAAGGTAAAACATCACAAGTGAATCCTAAGTCAAACTATGAACTTTGAGGATGTTGATAATGGTGGATGCTATGCCTAAGTGGGGGCAGGGAGTGTATGGGAAATCTTTGTACCTTCCTCTTGATATTGCTGTGAACTTGAAACTGTTTTGAAAGAACAGTCTTAAAAATTAGCCATCAATATTTGTGTCCAGAATCCCCTGGAATCTCTACATTTATATTAAATACTTTGTAATTCGGCAATAAATTTATAATGGCCATTGTTTTTCTATCAAATATCTTGAAAGAGAAAAGAATAGTGCTTCTCTATTAATGCAGGCTACCTTCACAAGATAACATTGTGTTTGTTTCTAGATTTTCTTTTTTTTTTTTTTCTTTTTGAGATGGAATCTCGCTCTGTCACCCAGGCTGGAGTGCAGTGGCACGATCTCAGCTCTGAAACCTCTGCCTCCTGGGTTCATTCTCCTGCCTCAGTCTCCCTAGTAGCTGGGACTATAGGCATGTGCCACCATGCCTGGCTAATTTTTTGTATTTTTAGTAGAGATGGGGTTTCACCATGTTAGCCAGGATGGTCTCGATCTCCTGACCTCATGATCCACCCGCCCTGGTCTCCCAGAGTGCTGGGATTACAGGTGTGAGCCACCGCGCCCAGCCATTTGTTTATAGATTTTCTAGTCACTCAAATGTAGCTGGTTTCTACTATGTGCTTAAAGTGATGGACACTTCCTTGTGTATACCACCCAACTAGGATTAACACTGTGATAAGAAAGACGAACACTTTTACTTGTCAGGAAATTTGATAATACCTTTAGATAAAGAAATGTCCAGATCCTTAACACACAAATAAGCTGCATGATGCCAACAAAAATGATCAAAGAGCAATAAAAATAACAACCATTGTGGAAGACAGTGTGGCAATTCCTCAAGGATCTAGAAACAGAAATACCATTTGACCCAGCAATCCCATTACTGGGTATCTATCCAAAGGATTACAAATCTTTCTATAAAGGCACATGCACACATATGTTTATTGCAGTACTGTTCACAATACCAAAGACCTGGAACCAATCCAAATGCCCATCAATGATAGACTGGATAAAGAAAATGTGGCACAGATAGACCATGGAATACTATGCAGCCATAACAAAGGATGAGTTCATGTCCTTTGCAGGGACATGGATGAAGCTGGAAACCATCATTCTCAGCAAACTAACACAAACTAACAGAAAAATCAAACACCGCATGTTCTTACTCATAAGTGGGAGTTGAACAATGAGAATACAATGACACAGGGAGGGTCACACTGGGGCCGATCAGGAGGTGGGGGCTAGAGGAGGGATAGCATTAGGGGAAATACCTAATGTAGATGATGGGTTGATGGATGCAGCAAACCACCATGGCACATGTATACCAATGTAACAAACCTGCGCGTTCTGTACGTGTATCCCAGAACTTAAAGTATTTTTTAAAAGTCTATTTGTAATCACTAGTGAACACTGTAAATCTTCAAGTAGAAACTCTATTTCTATGAAAGATTTATAATAAATCTCTAGGACTCTGTTAGTATTGAATCTTAAGGAATAGACTTAGATCTTATCCAAAATTGTTTTCCTTAAGTGTTCACTCCTAGGGTTTCTGGAGGTGGGTCTCATTTCTAACCACCCTATGAAAGCAAAGCACTCCAACAAAACTATGCAGTCCTCCGAGGTCACATTGTTTTAAAACTGTACATAGCCTAACAAGAAGTCTACTGGCTCCAGTTCAAAATCTTGGCCGCACTGCGTCCTCAAATGTAACACTTATTTTTTTAAACACAGAAAGTTTTCTGAGTTTCTGCTAGGTCCCTGGAACTGTAACAGGTCTGTAGTTGAAATATGTGTGCATGTGTGAGAGAGAGTTAGTGTGTATGTACATATATTCCTCCTTCATAGATATTTGTGAGGGTTAAGTTTAGGAGAAATCATGTAATTCTCTTTTTAACTCATGTTCCTCTCTCTTAACTAAGCTCTGAGAATGCTTCCGAATCAAAATGAGATCTCAGTTTCACTGATACTGATGCTCAAACCTAAGCTTGTTTCCATTTGTTCTTGTTGAAAGTTGCAACAGAAGACTTCTATTTTCTCCAAACAGCCTATAATTTTTAATTCAGTTTTTTTCAAGAAATATTTAATATATTATGGACCAAACAGGAAATCTAGTGACTTCATATATGCTATCTTAGTAATTCTAATGTTTTGCCCCACATTTAACCATCTCAGAGATCAAGATGGGTTACTTAATTCTTATCTCTTCTTTTGCCTAAAATAAGCACTAATATGTTTGTATTCTAACCTATATGTATGTATATACGTACTCAATCACTTAGAAGAAAACAAAGAACGATTTAATAGACAAGTTGGAGAGCTAAAAGTTCTTAGAAATCCTACATTCACAATTCTGCCTAGATGCCCTTGAAATTTCATAATTATCTAATTTTTATCATTCAGTTCAGAAAATGTTGTTTTGAAATCGTCTTATGAGAAGTTTAAAACCTGCATGCAGGATAAAATATGCTAGTTAACATCCTTTCTGTAGGCAATAAACTGTGGGTGGTAATTTGCATTTCTGAAAACCTAAGACACAGTAACGTTGAATTTATAAGACTCCTACCCTCGTAGAATTCTACCTTCATAATTAGCCTCTTCATTCGTTAAATTTGGAGCAATTCTGTTTCAGTAAATTTCTCACTTTAACATTTTGGGTTTTCTGCAGGTTTCATCTTTTTTTCCTTTTTTTTAATTTTTTTTTTTATTTTGCTGACACTTAAAAGAATAAAGAATATCACTGAACCCTGTCATTAGGCAAGGCACCTAGCAGACAATGCAGACAACTCATTTTATTGTAGGAAGGAAATACTTTTCTAAATTGTTAAATCATATACAATGTTTTTTTGTGTGTATGCAGCCCACCTAACACAGAGGAGAATGTGGCCAAGTCAGGAAATCCTAATACAATCTCTAGGTAAAGAGATGACCAGACTCTTATCACTTGCACCAGTTGTGCAAAGCCATTAAGAATTTCTAAAAGACATTCTTAATAAGCTGTATTTCTCTCTTTTTCAGGGCAGGGTAGAGCAGGAAGAGTTGATTAAACGATGTTGAATGGCTCAATTGTGCTAGATATTGTACTAAGCATTTTACATATATTTAAGTCATCCAAAAGCCCAGATAAGCTATATGTTTTTATTATTACAATTTTATAAATATGGCAACTGAGGTTTAAAGAGTTATATATAACTGCCTAGGTTCAAGCAGTCAATAAGTGTGATCTCTACCCAGGACCATCTGCTACCTAAATCAGTCCAAAGATTGCCCTTTGCTCTAAAATCAAATTGTATTATTTTTTATGAGTATAGAAAATTTGTTTTTAATTCTTAGATTAGGCATTGCCTCTTCTTTGTGTGCTAATGCGATCTTTTTGACTGTATCTCCTAATCTTTATGTCTTCAATGTGTTTTGCATTATAAGCTCTGCATTTTGAGGAAACTGTATATCACCTGAACACCAGACATTAGTGTGCACTCAATCTTCCTACCTTTCCTGTTTCATATAATGGGTGAATATGTATCAAATATTATTTTGTTGTCACCACTGTTATTGCTATTACTTATCTCTATTAAAGTTGGATAAACTTTTAACACTGATGGCACATATAGAATACCCAGTGAACTAGATGAATAATAGCTTACATTGACCAAACACCTTCTCTGTTACAGACTCTATACAAAGCACTTCAATCACTATCTAATTTAATTTCACAATAATCATGAAGTATATAACATTGTCTTTACAGATGAGAAGACCAGGAACTAGAGAGGTTAGCTAACTTTCTCAATGTCAGTGCTAATGAATGGCAGAGCCAAGACTCCAACCCACACCATGTATCTTGGAAGCCCATACTCTTGTGTGATTGTGATTGTAAATGCTAAACCCACTTGAAAGCAGGGGTTGTATTTTTTCCATAGTTCCTTGTGCACAGTAAGCTCTGGATAAAATCTTTTTTTGAAAGAATAAATAAATAATAACTGGCTTTAGCATGAATGCTTGCTTGCCATTAGACACATGTATTAGAACTTCTGTACCTTAATGTATTTCGTTTGCAAGGTAATAGATTGTTCTGGGTAACTTCAAAAGTTATCTTCAGTCAAGCTTGATTGTGCCCCCTACAAGACTTGCATCTCTTTATAACACTGAAGTAAGTTTATGCCTTAATTAAAAAGACAGCTTTCAGTGGGATCCTTTCAATACATTTTCTTTTATTATATGGACCTCTTACTCCTTCTCACAATCATTGAGATGGTATTGAGAGAGATTTCAATAGTGTTATACTGTTTCTTCTCTGTGAAGCTCCTCCGGCTTATCTCAGGAGAGGTACTGGCAGCCTTATTTTTGACAGTCTCAAAGGATAGTCCTCTAAAAGCTGCAGAACAGCTTATTATGCTTTGAGTGACGTTATGCCCACAGTCTCTTCTGAGGAAAGTTGACCATCTGTGCTCCTCAACTTGGCTTAGCTTATTTGGTCAATGGTGGGTGTCTGCCCCATGGGCTACTGGTTATTAGGCTGCCTAATTGGTGACCAGCTATTCTTGAGCAGGATGGCATCATTCATCAAATAAATCAGTGAGACTATATTCTTGCAAAAAGTTTCTTTTAAAATTATACACAGGAAGGTACAGATCGTCAAGGACTGAAGCAATAACAGATGCAGGAGTAGAAAATAGTGAAATGTCTATAATGTCACAGGGGAGAACAGGGTTCCATGGAAGCTTGCTTCTGTGATGGCAGCTGCTAGGGTCTGTGTTGGCTATTATAGTTACTGCCTAATAATAAACTTTGCCTGGATTTTATGGGAACTTTTCTTGTGGGAATCCTACCTATATAGCAATCCCAAGTTTTCTTCTGTTCCTTTGAATCTTTATCATAAAGTGTTCTTTCTGATATAAACTTAATATGGTTTATGTTTTTATAACTGGAGAAAATGTGAGTACCATGCATAGCCCGTTTCACTGTTGAAGGACTCTAATGCTTAAGTAGTTAACTCTTTAATTCTTTCTAACTACCATCAAGCTTACTATTTTTATTATATTTATTTTTGCATTTCATGTAGAGCTAAAAAATGTGTCTTGGATGCTTCTGAAAACAATAATTGGTGTACATTAATCAAGTTAATAATACTTTTTGGCTCAAAGCTCAATCAAAAAATGTTCTTTTAGTATTGTATAACTCATTTCCAAGCCTTTTAGATAGGTTATCTTATTTCTCTAAACCACGTTTCTCTTTATTCATCTCAGCTTGATTAATTTCCTTCTAGATTCTAAACACAGGAGAAAACTTAAGTTTAAATTATTTATTTTAACTGGTAGAAAAAAGGCAGAATTCTTCGTAGACATCAACCTTGCAAGCTATAATCAGTCTGGAACTGTTTATATAAAAGTCTTTAGTTGGGAAGTCATTTGGGTAACAGGTCAAAAGGTATGTGTTCTCTCCCATGACTAAAACTCAATATTGTGAATCCACCATCCAAATAAAAGTACACCAGAAACAAAACATTTTTGTTACTCATAAAAATATGAATATAATATATACTGCTACCGACAATGAAAGTTAACCATTTAACCTCTGTATTTTCCAAACAGGTCAGGTCTCATTCTGGTATAAATTACCAATTTCAGTTCACTGGGTGAACGTGGTAGTATTTTAATTCTTTTTCTGATCCAGTTGTTTGTTTTTATCATATATTTTGATAAAAAACATGCATGTAGTTGTATGTGTATGAGAGAAAATGTATGTGTGAGTATGAGGGTTGTGTGTATGTGTGTAATTGTGTGTATTTGTGTGTGTGTCAGAGGAAGAGGCTTTCAATCATGAATATTTGTTTTTCATTTATTAGATGCCCTATAATTATATGGAAATGCTTCTGTTGACAAATAGACTCTTGACACTCAAAGTGTGGTTCTTGGAACAGCAGCACTGGCTTCAAATGGAACTTGTTAGAAATACAGTGTTTTGGGGTCTGACCCAAATGTACTGAATGAAAAGCTACATTTTAACAGAATCCCCGGGTGATTTTTGTGCATGTCATTATTTTGAGGAGTACTACTTTAAAGCATTGCTGCCACTATTGTACTGGGAGTCATAGTCATTGTTTTTATCATTGTCTTTCTCTCTCATTGCCTCACATTTTGAACTACCTCATAATGCATTGTCCTGTCTGAGCTTCCTTTACACTACGATACTGAGGTTCTCAGTGATCCCCTGCACTGCTTATTTTGTTTTATCACCATTACACTATGATTAATGATTATCATTACTACAAACAGTAGCACCTTATAATGTTGAGGTTTCAGGTTTCTAAGACCCTCTTTTAAGATGACCAGACATTTGGGTCAATTCTGTTACTAATTGTAGGTGCTATCCTGATTCTATTGCTACAGATTGCTATACTCTTCAAACTCATTTGATTCTGTGTATCTTAGGATAGGCTGTTTATCTATATCTGTCTATGCTTTTAAGTTAATATCACTAAAAGATTATCCCTCACTGACAAGAAATAAATTAGTATGCTTCTTATATAGCTTACCACTCTCATTTTTAACTTCCTAGTTCCTGGAACGTAGTGAAAGAGGAGACCTTGGGATTAATTCCCTGTTTGACTTCTTTCAATCTAAATAGTACTTGGCAAATTACTTAACCTCTCTTAGTGCCGTATCTTCAAAGTTGGCATAATAATACATTTTGTTGTGAGGAGGAAATGAAGTGTGTAAAACTCCAGAAAAACACGTTATATGCAGTTGTCGCTCAAATATAGCAGTGCCCTTTCCCTTGTTCCACATTGATGCATACCAAAAAATAACATGTCTCAGTGTCTAATATTGCTGGTTAGCCCTGAACTGCTGCTTCTTTTGAGGCTTAAGCTCTTTTCTGGCTGCCATGTCTGGTTGTACATGGCTGTTCATGACCTAAGGACTGTTTTTATTCATTAAGACTTCTTTTTTTCCCCCTTAGCTCCGTGAATTCTGAGAGGCAGCAGTTATATGAGGCATGGGAAGAGATTTTTGCTCATAGACTTAAAAAAAGAAAGAAAAAAAAAAACCACAAGGAATATGACCAGGTGCAATGGGCTTAGGAGTCTAATGAGAAACATACACATATTTGCATTTCTTTTCATAGATTATTAGCTCCTACAGGACTCTACTGTATAGATAATTTCTTTTTTGAGGCAAAAATGAGTATCCTTTGTGAATTTATCAAAAACAATACAGATTTAAAAGAATTAGAAATATATGTAGTGTATATTGTGATACCAGTGACCTCATTCATCTATTCAATCATTACAAATTTTAATAAGTACCTGGCAAACAAAGCTTTAGACCCTGTAGAAACACAGATTATAAAAAGTCAGACAGGATTCCTCTTTTCATGGAGTTTATAGTCATGTGAGCAAAAAGCAGATACTTATCAAATTAAGAACAAAAGCTATCACTCCAGGAAGTGATAAATACTATGAAAAAAATAAGATAAGGTGATATGGTGGATTTTACACAAGCATTGCCCCGATTCTTAAGCTTTCTCTCTATCAATGTCCTTTGCAATATAATTATGAGTTCCTTCCATCAATAGGTCTGGTTTATTTGCCCACCTTTGGACTCTGGGTTGCTTTGAGATTTGTTCTGGTGGAAGAATATGGCAGACATGACTGTGCCAGTTCTGCAGCTGAATCTTGAAAGCTCTTATGTGCTTCCAGTAGCTCTTTTGGGACCAGCCAAGATTAACCTACTGGATAATGATAAACATATGGCCCAGACACCAGCATTATCCCATGCAACAACCGGCTAACCACTAGATATTGAGGGAAGTCATCCTGGACTAACTAGCCAGCTCTCCATCCAACTCACCAGCTGATGCAGAAAAAATCCTAGCCAAGATCAGCTAAGCCTGCCTAGCCCAGATGATAGAGTGATTTGTGTGACCCATGTCCAGTGTGTCTTCAGAAGCATAATCAAGATGAGAATTAATAAAATATGTGATTAGAGAGATAAGCAGATGTCTAATTATGTGACATAATTAGGGTTTTGTTTTTTGTTTGTTTGTTTTGTTTTGTTTTGTTTTTGCCTTTTATGAGTAGTTTGACTAGTTAAGGTTTAAGGGATCTGACTTAAATAGGACACACATATATTTGGGGCCAAATCAGTTTCTACTTGTGAATCTGACTTAGCTTTTGCAAGTCTATCAATAAGATGGAAAGAATATTCCTTCACAGTATTACAGACATAAAACTTCAGCACATTTAATTCCAGAGATAAAAGTCTCTATTGAGTTATAATTTATTTTGATTAAAAAGATGCAATTTCCAGAGGCATGCTGAGTGTGGCTCCTTTTCCCTCACTTAAAGTTTGGCATCATTTAAATGATCTGGGTGATGTGATTATAGCTGATGATGCCGTTATTGTGAGATGTGTCAGGCAGTCCCCACTGAGAGCTGCACAGTCTTATTTCAGGAGGTTGCCTCTCATTCAGCACACTTTTTATAAACTCAGCTACCTAGATATTAATCCTTTGCAATTAGAAAAGAATAACTAATGCTTTCTAAATCTGTCATATGACCTGAAATCATACAGCTTGTGCTTCTAGAAGGTTGTATTTAACCAACGTATTTCCATAGGAAAGCTGTGTGCAAAATCACAGCTGGGAAGTCAGACTGAGAAATCAACGTGAAGTGACTACAAAGCGATATGACTGCCTTACAGAAATGGATCATTTTGTGTTATGGTCTCAGCATATACTCAGAGATGAAATTAACTGATAACTATGAAAATTAAAACCCCATCTTCGCTTTTTTTTTTTTTTGAATCCCATCTTCTAAGGTTCATTTATATAGCTTCAGTGAAGCTTTCTGGTTAGCAGTTCAACAAACACTTACTGAATATCTACTAGGAGCCACACACTAGAGAAAATAATATAAAAAGTAGAAGTTCCAGGGCTGGGCACGGTGGCTCACGCCCGTACTCCCAGCACTTTGGGAGGCCAAGGCAGGCAGATCATCAGGTCAGGAGTTTGAGACCAGCCTGACCAACATGGTGAAACCCCGTCTCTACCAAAAATACAAGAAAATTAGCTGGGCGTGGTGGCATGCACCTGTAATCCCAGCTACTTAGGAGGCTGAGGCAGAAGAATTGCTTGAATCCCGGAGGCAGAGGTTGCAGTGAGCCAAGATTGCACCACTGTATTCCAGCCTGGACAACAGAGTGAGACTCTGTCTCAAAAAAAAAAAAAAAAAAATAGAAGTTCCATCTTGAATCTAATCAAGAAGAAGCATGTAAACAGGATTTTTCTTTTAAAGCGTGCCAATCATGTCATAGAATTATAGATTCAGGTTGCTATCAGTCCAGAAAATAACATTTTTATTCATTTGCTTTCTCCATCATTAAAGCACAACAAAGTACAGGTAGACTTTTTAAAATTATATTATTAGATATTTCTGAATTCTGTTAGTATAATTTCTTAGGTTTGGCAAGAGACTGCCAACCCCTACTGCCAATTTTTTAAATAGAGTGTTTTATGTTTAATCAGCAATACAGAATATCAGTTCTTCAGATCCTTGATAAAACTTAATCTCCAATTATGTCCTCCTCAGTTCTTATCAAATGCCCAGCTGAGAAAAATGACAATTAGTAAGATAGTTTATGGGACATGAAATCTATGCCCTCATATGAATGGCCAACATTCTTTGACTTCTTATATAATTGGCTTCTACAGGATATTATTCATTACTACGATGCCTCTGAATAATAATCACCATTATTCTTTGGAAAAGTATGACCCTCATAAATATTCCAACCACTGAATTACTAAGCATTAGCAAATAAGTTGTCAACAGCTGAGCCATGAAATAATTGGAAAATGTAGTTTTTCATTTGTTAGAGCTTAATCTTTTGTCATACATTTCCAAGTGAATATATTTAGTAGCTAGCTAGAATATCCCTTCTAGCAAAGCTGGTTTCGGTAAAATTACAGACATATTCCACTTGCCTTGTGCATTACAGTATTCAAAGCCATATAATGAATATAAACACCATTGCTTTTGCATTGAAGTGCTGTATTCATATAATATAAATTCAACTGACTTGATAGTAGTGGCTTGCAGCAATGATTCTCAAAGTGTAGCCTCAAATCAGTAGCATCACTATTACTTAGAGATGGTTACAAACGCAAACTTTCAGCCTCTATCTGCTGAATTGGAAGTGTAAGGTAGAACCTAGAAATATATGTTTTTACAAACTCTCAGGAGTTTGATGCACACAAATTTTGAGAACCTTCGACTCAGCTGTAGAGCAGTCATCTATGTTAGCATCTTTTGAGATAAAGAAATGAACAACAGAAAAAGATGAGAGATATAATCAATCTCAATTTGACAAAGGCCTTTGATAACTTTCCAAATTACAGTTGTATCAGCACCATAGGAAAATAAGATCGTCGCTCCACAGAAAGTAGATGGATAAAGATCTGCCTTCAAGGACGTAACTAGGATCAAGTCTCATTTCTTACCTATACTATTCTGTTCTACTAGAAGATCTGGACTATTTAATTAAATGCTTAAATTAAATATAGAACACCAACTCTATGCCTTGCCTGTACTAGGCTAAATTCTTGAATTAGCCCATGTCCTTTTTAAACCTTTTAAATTATGTTTTCCTCATGTGCATATTAGTCACAGCATGCTTCCCCTTGACTGCCCTGCATTAAATTTCAGTGAGTGATATTCTATAAATGATTATGTCCTTTAAAATAATAAACATAATAAACATGATAATAACAATGAAATAATAATAATAGCTTTTGCCATGCTAAATCTCTGCCCACCTGACCAAAATATATTTCTGAGTTTGCCAAACTAGGGTAAGCTTCTGTCTTCCTAGTTCATTGTGCACCTGATGTTTGCTTCTTGATCTTTTATGACTCATAACCCAAGACAAGATAGTCCTGAAAAATTGGAAAATAAAGGAGATTGAAATTTAAATGGGTAGATTGAAAGCAGTACCCTTTTTAACTTAAAAAAATTGTTATAAAAGGTATAAAAACAGGCTTTCCCGTAATAAGAACTGAGAGAAGCTATGGAGGAAAGGAAATCAAATTGGCTTTCAGATAAATGAATCAGTCATATAGTGACATTGTTAAGGCATGAGAGCAAATAATGGGAGGAAATTCATAATATTCAATAGGAAAAGGCTCATATATATATATATATATATATATATATATATATATATATATATATGTATATATATTTTTTTTCCTGTGTAGTCATTTTCTTTTACCTGGTCACAGCTTCTAGAAGGAAGCAAAGGTAACAGACACAGGAAGGGAAACAAACACTACTCCAATCAGAACTACTGCATCAACTCTAGTCATAAATAAGAAAAGGTCTCTCTCTCTGCCTTCAATATGATTAAAACTAAAACAGAACAAGATGTCCCTATTCAGCCCCATCCCTTTATTCTTAAACTATTTTCTGCTTAATCAAAATAAAATAAATACTCAATTTTTCTCCCTCAGGACTAATTCCTTATGTTAGTGAGTAGTTAGATTAGGTGTACTCTTAAATTCACTTCTAAGGACCTCAAATCTTTGTTAATTCATCTGTTGCATCTGACATTTTGTTATTCTTTCCTAGCTAAAATAATAGTATTAATAATAACTGAGAGAATCAGAGAGAGAGTGTATATGAGCTCATTTGAATATAAATCCCTTTTTGAACTTTAAGGCACTATATATAATACAATAATTTATTTTTATTTACAATAATAATGATATATCTTATAGACAGAAACCATATCATCAGTCTAACATGTTTTCTACTGACACTTCTGTGTTAAATTTCTGTAAAACCAATATAACAAGTTCATAAGCATTAACAAATATGGTGTATCACCAGAAATATAAAAAAAAATGGGATTTTAACTAAAGTAAAAAACTCTGAATGGTGACTTGAAGCAAATGCTTGTTTTGGTTTGTTTGTTTTTGTTTCCAGTATGTCAGAAATATAAAAAGTCACAGAAGACATTTTGGTTGTATACATAAAAGGACTTCTCTTCGGGATTACCACTAGTCAAGAATAATTAAACATATACAGCCAAAGTTGTGAGGCCTATGTCTTTAAAATTTTTTAAAGAATCTCCTCCAAACAGTTTAGAATTTTACCTGTCTAAAAGCAGAAGGAGGCAAATTAAATTGCATATCTTCTTGCTCTACAATTCAAAAATATTAGACATTATCAATATATCCAAAGGAATCATTGCCTCGAAAGATAGAATTGAATCATTAAGGCCATGGTTTAGTAAAATCCAATTGGTTGCAGACCTCTATCTGTGACAGCCATGGCTACAGGCATGAGCTGTGATGTTTTAAACAAAGACTCATTGGCAGACTGGTAGAATTCAGAGAGAAAAGAAACTATGCCTAAAATAAAAGCGTCCTTTCAAATAAGAGCATCTGCCCAGACATGGAAAGTGCTCAACAGTACTGGCAACATAAATTGGCTTTATATGAATGTTTAAAATTCCTGTTTGTTATAGATGTAAAAGACTGGAATATATTCCACTGTATATTTAAAAATATGAACTTAGACATTCTTTAGAAAATAAACTGACAGTTACTTAATATATCATCTGGCAATAATTTTTCTCATTACAAAAATTAATATATCACCACCCAGATATTAGTGGTGTATTCCATTCCTTTGTAGGGATAGAATATCTAACACTCTGCAATATACCCCTTAGTGTTTTTCTCTGATTGGTTATCAATAGAGCTGTATGTAAAATCATAATATACCTGTAATCGTTTCAATAAGTAGATATTCGTGTATCCTTACCACTTCACTATAGCATGTATTAGACAGGCTCAGTGCTCTACAACCAAGCAACAGCTAAAATTGAGACTTAAATGGCAAATGTGGGCAGTATGTAAACACAGGCTGGATAATTTGGTCTTCAAATCCTAGATTCCTGCAAATAATAAATTCACAGACTTACATTCATGCAAATTATAAGATTTCAAAATGCAAATATAATTGTGAATCTAGGTCTCTAAATATTCTGTATTAATTGAATTATTTAAATATATCCCACATCACTAATTATCAGAAAAATGCAAATCAGAACCACAGTGCGATACACTTCACTCCACTTAGAATGGCTATTATCAAAAAGGCAAAAGAAAACAAGTGTTGGTTTGAGGATGTAGAGAAAAAGGAACACACACTCTTGGTGGGATTGTAAACTAGAGTGGCCATGATGAAAAATGGTATGAAGGTTTCCTTAAAAATTAATAGTAGAACTATCTTATGACTCAGCAATCCCACTGCTGGGTATATATCCAAATAAAATGAAGTTAGTATGTCAAATAGACATCTGTGCTCCCATTTTCATTGCAGCACTATTCACAATAGCCAAGATATGGAATCAACCTCAATCTGTATCAATGGATGATACAGATTTCTTCATCCATTGATACAGATTGGATAAAGAAAATGTGGTATACACACAATGAAATATTCATTATGCAGCCATAAACAGGAATGAAATCCTGTCATTTGCATAACATAGATGAACCTAGGGGACATCACGTTAAGTAAAATGAACCAGGCACCAAACGACAAATACCACAGGACCTCACTCATGTGGAATCTGAGAAAAAGATAACCCAAAACCACCAACAACAGAAAAGTTGATATTAAGAAGAGAGTGGAACAGAAACTGAGAGGTGGAGAGGAAAGGGGAGGATGGGGAGAGGCTGGCCAATGGATACAAAACTACAATTAGACAGGAGAATTAAATTCTGATGTACTATTGCACAGTAGGCTGACTATGGTTAACAGTAAAATAGTGTATATTAGAAAATAGCTAGAAGAGAAGCTCTTGAAGTCTCTCACCACAAAGAAATGGTAAATGCATGAGATATTGAATACACTACCTTGGTTGGATTATTATATAACATAGATATGTATCAAAACATAAAATTGTACCCCATAAATATGTACAATTACATGACAATTTAAAATAAATATTTTAAAAAATAAATATGTCCTTCAATCAATTTGGGGCCAAATACTTACCTAATCTGAATTCAAGTCAAAGGCAGGACTGACTTTTTTTTTTTTAAGACGGGTTTTTTATGCCTTGAAATAGATCCTCTGCAAAATTATTTGGTGTCTAGTTACATATATTGAAATAGCCATCATGAGTAATGTGATATTTTGTTTCATATGCAAAATGTTTTTCTACCAACCAAGTAGCATTTTATTCATCAATTGAATACACTAAAAATTATCAAAAAGTGAAGTAAAACGCCCTTTTTCCCCTTTTGTTTCTGTTATATCTGTATCATGAAATATGTATGACTCATTAGGTCTCATTTTCTAACACTGGAAGCTAACTAAAAGTGACTGTCAGTGTTTATAAAGTGTATTAACGTCTTCATAAAAAAACCCTTAAATTATTATTACTTTGTTTTTCTTCTCTAGTTATTCTTAACTACTTAGTCGATGCAAATTCAATACTATTTCAACAGCACTGATGATGTGCATTAGACATTGCTTCTGGCATCACGGTACTTGTGATACACCAGAAAAGATAAGTTGTAATCAGTGTAACACACACCTGTGACTAAAATAATACGTGATGTAAGAGTGATTTAGAGTTTGGTGTTTAGTTTAGCTAATACCACTTATAAACAAATTTAGAGATGTTTATATATCAAAACACTGTGTTGTATGTGACAGAAAAACTAATGCAATGATCTTGAAAATAAAAAACCAGTTTCGGTGTGGCTGTATCCATCAGCTGAAACTGTATTACATGAAACCTAGCCTCTTTGTCTCTGCTTTCCTTTGTGTTAATCTATCATTATTTTCAACACTGTGGTATGACATCAATTCCCTTTCCGTTTTACATAAGTTAGCAGGAAGTATCTCATGCTCATAAAAGAGGGAAAGATTCTGACCACAGAAGTCAAATGAAGGGCTTCGATCTGGATCTCATTCAGTAAATAGGTATGAAAGCATTAAAACATAGCAATAATTTTTTTTTTTTTTTGAGACAGAGTCTCGCTCTGTCGCCCAGGCTGGGGTGCAGTGGCGCGATCTCATCTCACTGCAAACTCCGCCTCCTGGATTCATGCCATTTTCCTGCCTCAGCCTCCCAAGTAGCTGGGACTACAGGTGCTCGCCACCACACCTGGCTAATTTTTTTTTTTTTTTGTATTATTAGTAGAGACAGGGTTTCACTGTGTTAGTCAGGATGGTCTCCATCTCCTGACCTCGTGATCCACCTGCCTTGGCCTCCCAAAGTGCTGGGATTACAGGCGAGAGCCACCACGCCCAGCCAAAGATTCTTTTAAGAAAGCATTAGTAGTAACATAGAGCTTGCACTGTATACAGGAGTAATGTAGTTAATTGTTACAAAGTTGTAAATGAAAGATGACCAATTTACTAGGCTCCACATAAAGTCACTCCACATAAAGTCGCTCCACATAAAGTCATTCTGTATTAGTTTTCCATTTTGCCATAATAAATTAGCACAGTCTTCGGACCTTAAAACAACACACACATTTTCTAACAATTCTGTCTGTCAAAAGTCCAGGTGGGCTTGACTGGGTACTCTGCTTAGAACCTCTCATGAAGCCAAAATCAAGGTATTGGCAGCCTTGTGCTCTTACCTGCTGGCTCTGTAGGAGATTCCACTTCTAAGATCATTCAGGTTATTGACAAAATTCAGTTCTTGTGATTGCAGGACTAAGGACCTTATTTCCTTGCTGGCTGTTAGCTGGAAGACCTCTAAGCCCTTAAGCTACCTACATTCCCTGTCCTGTTTCCTCTTCAATCTTTAAACAATTAATGGAGCACTGAGTAATTTTGATACTTGACTCTCTGATTTCCTTTTGGCCAAAACTCCCTGAATCCACAGAAAGTTCCCTGCCTTTAAGGACTCATGTGATTAGAGACCTAACCAGAAAATTGAGAATAATCTCCAGATCTTAACGACTATAAGCTTAGTTATTTCTGCAAAGTCCTTTTTTATGTAACATATATATTCATAGGAATGGGATTAAAATTCTGCCTACCACACACTTGTTAGGGGTCAAATGCAATCTATAGAAGGGAATTGGACTTGGTTCTGTGAGAGCACAGAGGATCCTGAGAATTAAAGAGGCTCTGTCATATCAGGAGATGAGAGCAGACTCTTAACAATGGAATCCAGGAGCTGAAGCAATAAGAAGACAATTCATGTTTTCAGCAAAAGACAGCAAGGAGCCATCTTCTGCAAAATTTAGTGAGCAAAGTACTAGAAATTGCCATATACTTCAAATTGAAGGAGCAAAATGTCCTGAAGTTTCCCAGGCATTGTGGGAAGCCAGCAATGAAAAGCAAAAAAATCTATAAAGGGGCTGTGTCTTCACCAGCCATATAATTTTGCTATGTTTTTGTCTTATTAGCTCAACATATTAAAGCTTCTCAAACAGAATTTGGAAAGTAAGGAATAACCTATTCAGTTTGCAAACATCTCTGAAGAAAGAAATTACACAACATTCTTTTTAACTCCTTTAGTAGCTTTTAAAATAAAATATTTGCCCTTATCTATAATGTGATCATTTCCTGGTGCAATAAATTCCTCCATTTGTTAGCCAGGCATGGTAGTGCATGCCTGTAATCCCAGCTACTCGGAAGGCTGAGGCAGGGAAATCGCTTGAACCCGGGAGGTGGAGGTTGCAGCAAGCCGAGATCTCACCATTGCACTCCAGCCTGGGCAATAGAGTGAGACTCCGTCAAAAAAAAAAAAAAAAAAAAAAATCCTCCATTTGCTCCTTGGGTCATCCCTGATTAATACAGTACAAGCAAACTGAAGTTTAACTAGAGAAGTAAAAAGCTAAATTTTATTCTTCAACCAGATCCCATGAAAACAAGAGTACTTCATGTTGTATGATATTTGGGCACGTTACCATTGCTATAAATTGAGTGACAGATAGTAGAAAAGAGGACACCTATGCCCTTTCATTTAGAGGCATGTAGGGAGGTGTGGTACACAGGTATTCCTAGGGGATAGTACCTGTGCATATAGCTGTTGAACATTAGTTTCTTAATAATACTTAACATTTTTTGTGTTGTGAAATAAACTTTTCAGCAAAAAACTTCTATTTAAAGACAGAGATAAAAATAGCTTTTAGAAATTAAAAGTAGTGAAATGAAAAAGATCTTCATTTAATTTTTAACTAATGGAGCTGTGTGAATTAAAAAGCATAAAAAACCCCAGCAGTAATTATTGTTGAGATGCTAGATGTCAGCTGCAGTTTTATTGCTAGATATGGTGTTGGACTGAACAATACTCAGGCACACAAATGGATATAACAGCAGGTGTTCTTTATTAAGCAGAAAGATGTATCTTCTTTACAGTCTTTGCTGCTGTTAGTTATGAGTACGGTGTCAAGTTCTGGTGGTCAATAGAGATTACCCACCTACCCATGTGGGTTAAAATGTAGCACTCAGTGGTAGATAAAAAGGGTGGTCATTAATTAAATGTTTTATTGAAGAAAGAGCATTATAAAGTAGATAGCTACTGTCTCTTTGGCCTACTATAATGTAAATATTCAAGAGTATTCAGATTAGGTAATAAAAAAGAGCCCGTATAGCCAAAACAATCCTAAGTAAAAAGAACAAAGATGGAGGCATCATGCTACCTGACTTCAAACTGTACTACAAGGCTACAGTAACCAAAAGAGCATGGTACTGGTACCAAAACAGATATATAGACCAGTGGAACAGAACAGAGGCCTCAGAAATAACACCACACGTCTATAACCATGTGGTCTTTGACAAACCTGACAAAAACAAGCAATGGGGAAAGGATTCTCTATTTAGTAAATGGTGTTGGGAAAACTGGCTAGCTATATGCAGAAAACTGAAACAGACCCCTTCCTTACACCTTATACAAAAATTAACTCAAGATGGATTAAATACTTAAATATAAGGCCTAAAACCATAAAAACCCTAGAAGAAAACCTAGGCAATACCATTCAGGACATAGGCATGGGCAAAGACTTCGTGACTAAAACACCAAAAGTAATGGCAACAAAAGCCAAAATCAACAAATGGGATCTAATTAAACTAAAGAGCTTCTGCGCAGTAAAAGAAACTATCATCAGCGTGAGCAGGCAACCTACAGAATGGGGGAACATTTTTGCAATCTACTTATCTGACAAAGGGCTAATATCCAGAATCTAGAAGGAACTTAAATTTACAAGAAAAAAAAAACCATCAAAAAGTAGGTGAAGGATATGAACAGACACTTCTCAAAAGAAGACATTTATGCAGCCAACAAAGTTATGAAGAAAAGCTAATCATCACTGGTCATTAGACAAATGCAAATCAAAACCACGATGAGATACCATCTCATGCCAGTTAGAATGGTGATCATTAAAAAGCTAGGAAACAACAGATGCTGGAGAGGATGTGGAGAAATAGGAATGCTTTTACACTGTTGGTGGGACTGTAAATTAGTTCAACCTTTGTGGAAGACAATGTGGCGATTCCTCAAGGGTCTAGAACTAGAAATACCATTTGACCCAGCAATCCCATTACTGGGTATATACCCAAAGGACTATAAATCATTCTACTCTAAAGACACATGCATACATTTTTCTTGCTGCACTGTTCACAATAGCAAAGACTTGGAACCAATCCAAATGCCCTTCAGTGATAGACTGAATAAAGAAAATGTGGCACATATACACCCTGGAATACTATGCAGCCATAAAAAGGATGAGTTCATGTCCTTTGCAGGGACATGGATGAAGCTGGAAACCATCATTCTCAGCAAACTAACACAGGAACAGAAAACCAAACAACACCGTGTTCTCACTCATAAGTGGGAGCTGAACAATGAGAATATATGGGCACAGGGAGGGGAACATCACAAACCAGGGCCTGTTGGAGGCTGCGGGGCAAGGGGAGGGATAACTTTAGGAGAAATACCTAATGTAGATGATGGGTTGATGAGTGCAGCAAACCACCATGGCACATGTATACCTATGTAACAAACCTGCACGTTCTGCACATGTATCCCAGAACTTAAAGGATAATAAAAAAACAAAGTTTGTAAAACCCATGGGTTAATTTATCTGGAGTGGAACTCACACATACATATATACACACCTGCCACTCTTTGAGGGAGCTCCCTGCCTTGGCTAACAGTCTAATGGTGCAGCTGGGTTGCAGAGGCACAGACTGAGCTAAAAGCAGTAGATTTTAAGCCTTGCTGCACATTAAAATTATATTAAGGAAATTTTAAGAATCCCAATGCCCATATTGAGCTCCAAGTCATTTGTATCAGAATGTCTGGGGGCTGGAGCCAGGGACTTTTGTAAAGATCCCCAGTTGATTCCAATGTACTGTAACATTTAGGACCCACCGACGTAAAGGTGAGCATTTGAGTAAGCATAGTAACTCCCCTGGGTATGTATTTATTAGGATCCATAGAATTACAGGTGCCTGCAAATAAAAATAATAGCTCATTAGAAATGTAAAGTTAATCAGAGGATAGGTGATGCTTATGCCACTAAGACTTTGGAAGACATTAACATTCTGAGAACCTCATATTTTGGCAAGTGTTAGTATAGGTAAGTTGGCTTGAAAAGGAACTCAGCGTTATGTGGGTCTAAAATAGAGAAACAAAAAGTGGCCTATTCCGTTTTCCTTACTTCATAAGGAAGTGAGGTTTATAAAACTGTGAATGGTCTTACATAGGTTATTTCTATAGTACTTGGAATATGTACATGGAATGTACAGGAAAGACTATTTTAAGATGACACGGGGCTAAAACCAGCCTATATTACAACAATTTGTTATTTTGATAGATGTTCAATTAATTTTTATAGTATAGAAACCATACCAAAATTGAGTATCCTAAAACACCATCCTTTTATATATCTCATCATTCTGTAGGTCAGCTAAATTTTTTTTTGTTTGTATGTTGTTTTTTTTTAAGTATGGAATGATGGAACCAATCTCTACTGAGCTTGTTCTTGTGTTTGCTGGTTGCTGGTAGAACACTGGTGATTGGTTGGTGTAGCAAGACCTTGCTCACTTATCTGGCAGTTGGAAGGCTGTTGGCAAGGGTCAAAAAATTGGCTAGCCCGTGTGTCTCTCTTTATACAGCAGGCCAAACCAGACTTTTTTCACATAGAATCAGCAGTTGTGAAGGGAACATAAACAGATGCTGTAAAGACTCTTGAAATCTGGGCCAAAACTGACCCACTTTCACTTCTTCTGCATTCTATTGGTTAAAACAAGGCCAGCCCAAACTCAAGGGATAAAGAAATGTACTCCACTGTTTATTTGAGGGGCTAGAAAATCACATTGTAAAGGGACATGCACATAGGGATAGATTAATGTTGTTATCATTATTTGTAGTGTACTACCATAGAAAAAATATTTTTCCCACAATCATACATTTTCAACATCTCATTTTTTTCATCTTTAGTCACAGCCATAACAGTCTTTCATAACTCTTTATGTACTTTTTTATTTGAAAAATTCTGTTTTGTCTTGTTTTCCAATTTAAAGTCATCTGACACGTGTGTCCACTAATGTGGAAATCTTTCCCTGGAGCTCAATATAAACATAATATTTTTGTTTTTTTACAAAGGGTCGGATGGAAGACTAGGTATTCAAGTAATAGGTATTCAGCTAGTTTGAGCCTGGAGAGTAAGATATATTTAAAAAGTAGTTTCTGTATTTATTAAAACATATTATTTAGGCAATACTAAAATCATCTTCCCCATTCACCCTTATCCACTTATGTTAGTGGGATGTTTCATAGAATTTCTACTGGGAAATGCTAACTTGTATAGGAGAGACCACTTACATTGCACTGTTCCTCTTTTCCAATCCTCTTCAAGCCTTCTCCCTACTAAAGAGGGAGTTAAGTAATTGAGTTCAACTAATTGGATTAAATGGATCATTTTTGCTAGTAGAAAGAACCACTTTGTTAAAAGACGTGCAGGTACTCTCTACCTTAAAAAAAGAAAAATGAAATTCTTCTTCCATGGCACTGGCTCAATTTGATCCAATAACTAACATTATTGTTTTGATTTATTGTAACGTGGCCAACCAGAATATATGCAACACAAAATTCAGATTCAAATTTAATAGAATAAGGCCCATGATTAGGTCCAAGAATAAGCTGTCTGGTCCAAGCCAGGTGTTGTAGACAGCCTCTGAGATGGTGTCCAGCGATCTCTGCCTTCTGGCTTTTATGCCTTTCTGTATTCTCCTCCCCTTGAGCATGGATTGGATCTAGTGACTCACTGCTAACAAGTGTAATACTGCAAAAGTAATGGAATGCTATTTCTGTAATTAGTTTGGAAAAAAAAGACGGGATTTCCCTTTGGATGCCTTCTCTCACACACTTGCTTGCTTTGGGTAAACCAACTGCCATACTGTGAATTTCCCTATGGAAAGTCCTATATGGTGAGGAACTGAGGGAAGCCTTCAGCCCACAGCCACAGAGAAACTCAGTCTTTCAGTGAAAGCACCAGGGAAAAGTTATATCTTACCAACAAACTCCTAAGTAAGCTTAGAAGCAGATCCTTACTCGATGAGCCTTCAGATAAAAAGTACTACCCCAGCTGACAGCTTAACTGAAACTTCTTAAGATACCTTGTGCCAGAAGCACCCAGCTAAGCCATGCCAAATTCCTGACTCAGAGAAACTGTGAGATAATAAATGTTTCTTGTTTTAAGTCCCTAAATTTCATGGTGATGTGCTATGCAGCAGTAGATAACTAATATGCTAGGCTTACTGTAGCTCTACATCTGGGGTCATTGAATACAGCAGACCCACTAATACAGTTATGTATTCTTTTATGCTTTTACTTTATTTAGCTCCGTTTGGAAATATCACTGACAGGCAGAAAAATATTCAGACACTTCTAAACTTTACTTATATTTTATTTTTTTATGTTTTATTTACTGATATGGATATGTATTAATAGTTATAAAATTAACTATATGTCACTTATGTTAAATAAGCTTATATATTTATGAATAATGTGTGCATATATATTTATGAATATATATGTGAGTGCATGTATATTCATGAATATAAATGCGTGTATATCTCTCTATATATTTGATTGCCTGACCTTGATGTGTTCTTAGGGAATAGAAAATCAGCACTAACTAGCCCTATTTCAAACACTACTCCCCTCTTTCATAGAAGTAGCTTCTTCCACAGATTTCTATCTGGGTGTATTATATTACTTAATCATTTGGGACTAATCACATACAGACTATTATTTTTACTGCTTTCAAGGAGACTCCTTTCCTCATTTAGGTTGTGAAAGTGATGGCAGATTTCTAATTCTGTGGATCTAAAGCTAGAAAGAAAAAAGTACTGGCATAATCATTAATTAACTGTAAGATTCCATGGCCATGATCAAACCTCAATGAGCCTCAGCTCCCTTAATTTTAATGTAGATTTAATATTAAAAATACATATTCCACATGTGTATATGAGAGCGATAAATATATAAAATAGAAAGTAACCATATTATACACTACGCAGAAGTAATGCTTGGTATATTGGAAGGGTGGAAATTGCTGGTGTTGATTGGATCGATTCAAAATAAAAGTCTTTACTGAAGACAAGCACAAGAAAGATGGGATAAGTAAATCACTTAAGCACAGTTCTTAACCAGGGTGAAGAATGTCTATTTAGTCTACAACTAAACTTCAGGTTATCCATAAACTTCCTAAAATTGTGTGCAGAATTACATCCTTATGTATTCATGAGAAACTAAGTGAGTGTGGGTGGATGACTGTGCATTTTTCAAGGGAGAATGTACATCATTGTCATCAGATACTCAAAGTGTTCATGGACAAAAAATGCTTAGGTAGCCTTTTATTAAAGACTTTCTGAGCAGGCACAGTGGCTCACGCCTGTAATCCTAGAATTTTGGGAGGCCGAGACAGGCGGATCACCTGAGGTCAATAGTTCAAGGCTAGACTGGGCAACATGGTGAAACCCTGTGTCTACTAAAAATAACAAAAATTAGCCAGGCGTGGTGGCACACGTCTGTGATGCCAGCTACTCAGGAGGCTGAGGTACAAGAAATGCTTGAACCCAGGAGGCAGAGGTTGCAGTAAGCCGAGATTGTGGCATTGTACTCCAGCCTGGGCAACAGAGCGAGACTCTGTCTCATTTAAACAAACAAAGACTTCCTGGACAACTTCTATTAATATTTCTAAAAGTACCATAAGGCACATGCCCCACATGCCTGATTGATTTTCTCTATGTAAGTAATCTAGGTAAATAATATTTGATATTTGGATAAAGTAGTAAAAGTGTATTTTAGATGAAACTATGACCAGATGCAAATAAATAAATAAACAAAATAAAGTTAGAAACTGCAAGAAAGCTGGATGTATAGATTTATTTATGGAAGACATATTCAAGAATATTCCAAACAGTGTTATTTAAAACAGTCCAAAACTAGAAATAATCCAAATGGTTATCAATAGTAGAAAGAAAAAATAGGCCAGGCGTGGTGGCTCACACCTGTAATCCCAGCACTCTGGGAGGCCGAGGCAGGCAGATCACAAGGTCAGGAGATTGAGACCATCCTGGCTAAAATGGTGAAACCCCATCTCCATTAAAAATGCAAAAAATTAGCCAGGTGTGGTGGCAGGCGCCTGTAGTCCCAGCTACTTGGGAGGCTGAGGCAGGCGAATGGCATGAACCCGGGAGGTGGAGCTTGCAGTGAGCTGAGATCGCGCCACTGCACTTCCAGTCTGGGCGACAGAGCTAGACTCCATCTCAAAAAAATAAATAATAAAATAAAATAAAAATAAATTTTTTCGATGTATTCATTAAAAAGCACATAATTTTAAATGACAGAAGCCAGATGAAATAAAAGGAGCCAGATACTGAAGAATACAGAGATTGTGATTTAATTTATACAAAGTTCAGATGTGGACAAAACTAATCTGTAACAACTCTTTTAAAATTCAAGAGAGTTTTTATCTTTAGAGAGAACCCTGGGGATGCGTTCTAGGGTGCTGTGGAGCTTACACATCCCTGTTTTGTTTTTTCAATCTGGGTGGTATTTTTCATCAAGCTGACATGTATGCCTTATTCATTGTTCTACATGTGTGTTACACGCCAGTACATGATATTGTTTTTGCTTTTTTTTAAAAAAAAAAGTTATGGATGGGGTCAATAGTCAGTAAAACCAAACTGAGGAAAAATAATGAACTGGAAGATAGCCCTAATGAAATTTTCCAAAGTAAAGGAAAGAGAGAAAATTACTGAAAAATAAATAAATTCTAACTAAAACTAATTTGAAATGTAAAGGAAGAGAGAGAAAAGCATAGAGTTAATATTTGGGAAGGTAATGGTTGAGAATTTTCCAGGAGAGATAAAAGACAATAATACTCAGCTTCGGGAAACCCAGTGAGTCCCAAACAGAATACATAAATTAGGATTCCACATCTAGACACATCAAAGAGGCACTCTAACTATTATGGTAATAAAGAGTTTAATTATGCCTGGCAGAAATGTTGGAAGAGAAAGAAGAGTGAAAGTCATGGAAGGTGCCAGGGAAGGTTATGGAAGCAACAACTTGAAGGTCTGAAAAGCAGACATTGGCGACTTCAGCCTGAAGCATCAAAGTTTCTGGTTCTCAAAAGCTTATCCAAGAACAGCTGCAACTCTCAGGAATCTGAAAAAGTTCCTAACAACTGTCAAATCAAATGGCTCTCAACCACTTATTTAGAAGTCTTTTTGCATCTCACTAAGTATCCTGAATCTACATAGGAAAGGGAATTCTGGCAAATGCAGTTTCTAGTTGTAAAAGAGACATTGGAAGAATGAGACAATGATAACAAGTTAAGAGCAAATAATCCAGCACACTAAGTAAAATTCTAACGTCTTCAGATAATAAGTGAAGGGATTATCTTTATTATTTTAAGGTATTTATGCTAAAACACAAAAAAATATGAACCAACAAATTTCAGAAATTCCTCAACTTAAAATGATAAAAAATTCTGCGTATCTAAGCATTCCAAAGACAGTGTGAAAAGCCAACTCATGATTTGGAATCAGGGGTTCAGACATACGTGGTTGAAAAAGAAATCAAACCCAAATATAAAAATAATTCCTTTAAAGCATTAAGACAAATATGGAGAATATTCTTTTATTTTATTTTTTTTTTTTTTGAGACAGAGTCTCACTCTGTTGCCCAGGCTGCAGTGCAGTGACACGATCTCAGCTCACTGCAAGCTCCATCTCCTGGGTTCACGCCATTCTCCTGCCTCAGCCTCCCGAGTAGCTGGGACTACAGGCGCCCGCCAGCACACCAGGCTAATTTTTTGTATTTTTAGTAGAGACGGGGTTTCACTGTGTTAGCCAGGATGGTCTTGATCTCCTGACCTCGTGATCCGCCCGCCTTGGCCTCCCAAAGTTCTGTGATTACAGGCATGAACCACCGCACCCGGCCTCTTTTTTCTTTCTTTCTTTCTTTTTTTTTTTTTTTTGAAGCTAGGTACAAGATTTGATATCAATCCCTGGGATTACAGGCATGAGCCACCACGCCCAGCCTAAAATTTTCTTCAGAGTTGCTGTATCATATTATCAATTCAAACCAATCTCTGAAAAATATTGTTTAGTATCATATACATATTCTATGAGCTAATTGCCCTAGCATATAATGAATTTCCTTTCCAGCAATAGTTAGACAAAGATAGGAGACATAATCTCCATCTTGCTCAGTTCAGACTCCCATAATAAAATACTATAGACAAAGCAGCCTAAACAGCATTTATTTCTCACAGTTTTAGAGGCTGGGAAATCTGAGATCATGGTGCCAGCATGGCCAGGCTCTAGGGGGGGCCTTCTTTCTCACAGGAGGCTACCTTCTTTCTATATCTTCGTACCTGTAGAGAAAGACAGACACAGATGAGAGCTAGAGGAAACTCTCTAGTCTCCTCTTATAAGGACACTAATCTCGTCATGAGAACTGCACCCTCATTTAAACCCAATAACCTCCAAAAGGCTCCATCTCCAAATATCATCATACCGGGGGTTAGGGCTTCAACATACGAACTTTTGGGGGACACAATTCGGTCCATAGTACTACCTTAAATTTGGACACCTTTCTGAGATCTAAAACTAGCACATATAAAATGATAAAAATGCATTAGAAACTGAGCAGCACAAGCTGTGGATGGTAAAACATTTCGAGAGGGAACAATTTACATTATTCCCTCTTACAATATTACATTTCTTGAACACCTAATGTATAACTATGTGCCAAGCAAGGTTGCAATTACAGGAGGAAATATGGAACAGGTGGGAAATGTTGGGATTTGAAAGGCTGTTTGACTATAGATCTCAAAGAATGGAGCAGCAGCATGAATGAATGATTGCTTGGAAGCAAATACACTTCGAAGATCCAGTGTGCCAAAGTCAGCTAAGAGTTAATTCCAGACCCTTAGCCTTCTAACTTGAACCAATGGCAGTGTTTTAAAGTTTATATCTTGTTCTGTAGACTCTTCATACTTAATCATGCCTATATCTCTGGCATTATTTTCTTCCAGAACAATCACTCCATGTCCCTCTTTGGTTTCCTGATGGTCTCCAGCACTAAGTATAACTACTAGTCTGGCACCTGACCCACCAAAATTGGAGTCTCAAATATTTTCTACACTGAGGCCATATCTTCTCTTTCTTTTTTTTATTTTTATTTTTATTTATTTATTTATTTTGAGACGGAGTCTCACTCTGTTGCCAGGCTGGAGTGCAGTGGCACGATCTCGGCTCACTGCAGTCTCTGCCTCCCAAGTTCAAGCGATTCTCCTGCCTCAGCCTACCGAGTAACTGGGATCACAGGTGTGCGTCAGCACACCCAGCTAATTTTTGTACTTTTAGTAGAGACGGGGTTTCACCATGTTGGCCAGGGTGGTCTCGATCTCCTGACCTCATGATCCACCCGCCTCGGCCTCCCAAAGTGCTGAGATTACAGGAGTGAGCTACTATGCCCAGTCATCTCTTTCTTATATCTACAGGTCTGAGTTCTGTTTCAGAGCATTCCAGCCCTCCCTAGCTAGGATCAGGGCTTTGTTTTAACTGATTATCTGCCAACAGTGATCTGTCTCCCAATTTGCTATTGTCAGCACTACCCTTTCTTCAAACCACAGTTTAAATGACACCTATTCTAAGAGGTCTTCTCAAGTAGTCTTATAATGGAGTGAAACCCATTATCCTGATCTTAGTGGTATTTAAACTGAACACATGAAAGCCAAGACTTTCTACTCTTTCATGCCTTCATAAAAATATTTGTTGAATAAATCAAGTCAAGTTGAATAGACTGAACTCATATCAAACAGAATTGAATTGAATTGAAACAAAATGGTTCTTTTAATACTTGAGCGCTAGATAGGCAATAGGGAAAACAGTTTATTTCTTTGTATATTTTTCAGATTACCTCGCAGTATGTATCTCTAATAGATGAGCTGCACAGAATATTACACATAATCAGTAGAAAAGTCTGAGACGATTCAGGTTTAGCCACATTCAGGTACAGATAATAACTCTCAAGTGAGTGTCATCTTTGATTAAGAGACAGCAGAATTCTTTAACTCTATACTAAAAAATAGAATATATTTAAAGCTAAGCTAAACAGGCTGTTTTTAATGGGCCAACTTGTATTTAAAATTAATTGGATATTGAAAATCCCAGCTTAAGTTTAATATGTATCTTTTCGTGGAAATCCCAAAATAAAGCTGCTCACTCTTTTTTAAAAAATGACAAAACTATACATTTCCTGTACCTTGGATTTTAGCAATCCTCATTCTAGCAATAAAGCCTTATTTTGAACATTTTCTTCCTCTATTTAGCTTATAGACAATGCTGTTCTTTCTTCTGTAATCTACTTAAGCATGCCACCATTTAGTACATTCATCACTACTTAATACCTGGCCATCATGGGGGCAAGGAATATTTGCAAAGACATTTTAAATAGAAAATAATGAGATAGTTGGATTTAAAAGGTTGTTCAAATGCTTTGAAATTCAAAGATTGTATGATATATCATCTTGGTTTATTTGTAAACCAAAGCAAAACAATAGAATCCTCATGCCACAGACGTCATTAATACATTGTTTATTCTGGTCCAACTTTCATTTATAAATTTTAACTTGCAACAACAGAGTGAAAATAAGCCCTATCACAATTAAAAAGAATAGTGTGTCCGGAATTGGTGGGTTCTTGGTCTCACTGACTTCAAGAATGAAGCCGTGGACCCTCGTGGTGAGTGTTACAGTTCTTAAAGGTGGCGTGTCCGGAGTTTGTTCCCTCTGATGTTTGGATGTGTTCAGAGTTTCTTCCTTCTGGTGGGTTCGTGGTCTCGCTGGCCTCAGGAGTGAAGCTGCAGACCTTCCCGTGAGTGTTACAGCTCATAAAGGCAGTGCGGAACCAAAGAGTGAGCAGCAGCAAGATTTATTGCAAAGAGCAAAAGAACAAAGCTTCCACAGTGTGGAAGGGGACCCCAGCGGGTTGCCACTGCTGGTTCAGGCAGCCTGCTTTTATTCCCTTATCTGGCCCTACCCACATCCTGCTGATCTGTCCATTTTACAGAGAGCTGATTGGTCTGTTTTGACAGGGTGCTGATTGGTGCGTTTACAATCCCTGAGCTAGACACAAAAGTTCTCCAAGTCCCCACTAGATTAGCTAGACATGGAGCACTGATTGGTGCATTTACAAACCTTGAGCTAGACACAGGGTGCTGATTGGTGCATTTAGAAACCTTGGGCTAAACACAGAGTGCTGATTGGTGTATTTACAATCCCTTAGCTAGACACAAAAGTTATCCAAGTCCCCACTAGATTAGCTACACACAGAGCACTGATTGGTGCATTTACAAACCTTGAGCTAGACACAGAGTGCTGATTGGTGTATTTACAATCCCTTAGCTAGACATAAAGGTTCTCCAAGTCCCCACAAGACTCAGGAGCCCAGCTGGCTTCAGCTAGTGGATCCTGCACTGGGACCACAGGTGGAGCTGCCTGCCAGTCCCACACCGTGTGCCCACACTTTTCAGCCCTTGGGTGGTCGATGGGACCGGGTACCACGGAGCAGGGGGCAGCACTCCTTGGGGAGGCTTGGGCGGCACAGGAGCCCACGGCGTCCAGGGGAGGTTCAGGCATGGCAGGCTGGGGAGGCAGCTGAGGCCTCGCAAGAATTTGAGTGCAGCGCCAGTGGGCCGGCACTGCTGGGGGACCTGGCGCACCCTCCGCAGCTTCTGGTCCGGGTGCTAAGCCCCTCACTGCCCAGGGCCAGCGGTGCCAGCCAGCCGCTCCAAGTGCAGGGCCTGCCAAGGCCACGCCCACCCAGAACTCCCCCTGGCCCGCAAGCACCACGCGCAGTCCCAGTTCCTGCCCACGCCTCTCCCTCCACACCTCCCCGCAAGCAGAGGGAGATGGCCCCGGCCTCGGCCAGCCCAGAGAGGGGCCCCCACAGCTCAGTGGCGGGCTGAAGGGCTCCTCGAGCATGGGCAGAGTGGGCACCAAGGTCAAGGAGGTGCTGAGAGCGAGCAAGGGCTGCGAGGGCTGCCAGCACGCTGTCACCTCTCAGTAGTATGTGTGAATCAATAAAGCAAATAATATTTGCTCAGCATTTTTGTACAGATGTCTTTCCAAAAGCCAGGCTCTCTTTCCCACCCCCCTTTGCTCACTTGAAAGACAGACACACAGAGATATATATAGTATCTATCTATATATATATATAGTATCTATATATATAGTATCTATATATAGTATCTATATATAGTATCTATATATATAGTATCTATATATATAGTATCTATATATATAGTATCTATATATATGTGTGTGTATATATGTATATACACACACACACATATAGATAGAAGATAGGTAGATAGATACCACAATAGCATGTTGACAAAAATAAAATAAATAGTATTTTAACAGTGAGAAGGAACTTCAGTTAGTATTCTAAGAACCCTAGTTTAATCTCTAAATTTTATAAAATGAAATTTATAGTGAGAAAGGATAAAAGACAGGGTACCTCTAATAACTCCTTGTTTTTGTTTGTTTTATCTGCTACACTTTGTAGAGTGTTTATTATATTCCATAATGCCTTTGTCTAAGGGTTTTCCTCACATTACCTGAATTGACTGTCACAAAAATCCTGAGATTATTATCCTCATTAATCAGATTAGAAAGTTGAGGTTTAAAAAGTCAGTTAATTTGCCCAAGTTCCTGCAAATACTGATAACATACACAATATGACACCAAAGCTAAGATCCTTTCTATCCCATCATTAGCAGAATTAGATATCCTAAGCCTCCTGACTGTACATCTCTAGCCTTTGTACAAGTGTTAGAAGCTTCTGCATGTAGAAAGATTCATTCCATTGCTACTTGGCTGTTTATCATTTCTAGTATTTCAGATTCTTATGATCTGATCTTAGTGGTATTTAAATTGAACACATGAAAGCCAAGACTTTCTACTCTTTCATGACTTCACAAAAATATTTGTTGAATAAATCATGTCAAGTTGAATAGACTCAACTCATATCAAACAAAATTGAATTGAAATGAAACAAAATGGTTCTTTTAATACTTGAGCACTAGATAGGAAAGCCTTGCCCTCCCCTCCCCTCCCCTTCCCTTCTCTTCCCTTCCTTTTCTTCCCTTCCCTTCCCTTCCCCCTTGCTTCCTTCCTTCTTTCACATGTAAGCACCCACCCACCTATCTACCAATTGATCTATCCAGCTATCTATTTTATTGAGAAATTGCTGTTCTCATCATATTTTAACTGATTGTTAGATATTTTTAAATCATTGAATCAGATAATTCTAGAGGTTCATCTTCATCATATTGAAACTGATTCAATAGTCCCATTGATTGTGATAAACATATACATTGATCCTTCTGGTCATAAAGGTTGAAGATTGTATTTTTTTTCTGAGTTTCTTCCTCAGGAAACAACCTTCAGTCTTCTCAAAAAAAAAAAGTCTCAAAGAACTGAAACTCACCATATCAGAGCACCTATAAGAGGTCAGAACCCGTCATTCATCATGATTGCTTCCTTGCTCCTCCCTAGTACTTATTTTTTTAACATTGTTACATTTTTGTCCTGCTATATAAACCCCTGGTTTTAGTGGGTCACGAAATGGATTTGAGACTGAGCTCCCATCTTCTCAGCTGCAGCACCTGCTTAAAGCCTTCTTCCTTGACAATACTCATTTTCTGTCATTGGTTTTCTGTGTTGGCAAGCAACAAGACCTAGACCGAACGCCTGGTGTTTCAGTAGCAGTATCATGAATGAGGCACTGAGATTTTCTACTTTTTAAAATTCAGAAACACAACCTAAACTTGTCTGTGTTATTTGTGTCCCTTCTCTACAATTTGGCTTGTGCAAAAATGCCTAAGGGAAACCTTTATTTATTACATTCAATCTTATTTAAATTGTTTCCTTACTATGAATACTTACTTCCAAATATCATGATAAAAAGAAGAACTTGAGCTTTATAGTAGACCTTAACAGGATATTTTGTTTCATCATTTCTCTTCAATTCTAAATACTGTAAATACTTAGAAATTCTAGCCTCTGTGTGTGCATATGTGTGTATGCAGTTACGTACATGCACCTATGAATACTATTTGGTCAATATCTTAAAAGTAATTTTAAATATTTATATTTGTACAATCCAGAGTTCTTTTCATTAAATATATCCCTCTTGGGTCTTTTGTTGAGAGGGTAGGGCCCCAAGCCAAGGTGCAGAAGTTTCAATCTGCAACCTTCTTTTCTCAGAACACTGAATCCTAGGGAAAATAAGTGTAGCATTCGAGCCACTCAAGAGCATCCATGCAGCTACATCTCTCCCTACTCTCTCAAATATTTTAAGGAGTCAATATTTAAAGGCTCCCTCAGAGTTCGATGAAAACTCATTATTTGGGTTGTTGCCAGTTCTTCCTTATTTTCTCAGGTTACTCATGTTCATGAGTCCTTTATTGCCTGCCAAGATAATGTAGGATTTAGTTACTACCAATGTCCAATAAAGGCACTGGCTTCCCCCGTGGAACAGTGTCTGAGGTTAAGTGCAGTGACCTCTGCCCTGGAGGCACATGAGGACACTGGGGGTGCACTGCCACTGCTGGCATTAGTGCTGACACAGATGCCAGCACTTCCACCCTATTTTTTTCTTGATGTGCTCCCACCACCATTAACAGCATCTCTGATGCCACAGACACTGTTGTGATAAAACAGTGGTGGTCATACATTGAAAACAGGAAAATTCATGAAATGAATTTTTTTTTTAATTCCAGGGTTTTATGTAGGATTTTATTAACCATTTGAGGCAGGGAACCTAAGGACTTCCTAGAACTAAAAGGGAAACACTTCAGCTATGACAGGAAATATCGTCTTTATTTACATAGAGCGTACACCAAGTAAATGGCTTTGTAACTTTACTTTATCTTCTTTATTTACATAGGATGTACACCAAGTAAATCACTTCGTAACTTCATTTTAGCCTCTTCACTTACATAGAGCATATGCCAATTAACCAATGGAACCTTCTAGAAGGTATTTAAATCCCAGAAAATTCTGTAACAAGGTTGTTGAGCCACTTGCTCAGGCTGGCTCCCACCCTGTGCAGTGTGCTTTCATTTTCAATAAGTCTGTTTTTTTCACTTCATTCTTTCCTTGCCTTGTTTGTGTGTTTTGTTCAATTCTTTGTTTAAAGCGCCAAGAACCTGGACAGCCTCCATTGGTAACATTTTTATACGTAAAAGACTTTAGGCCATTAGGGTTGGTGTATAGGGCCAACCTAGAGGCAGATAGTTGAATTGAACTGGTTAAGCTCAATTTCCTTAGAAATTTGTCTCCAAAAGGCCCCCTAGTCTCCATACTGACACCTTCTAGGCATCTTTGCTACATTGGATGTTCATGTCTAACACATTTCCTCAGTTAAATATAATTAGGGTTGAGTCTGAAATACAAATAAGTATGTTATAGATGAAAACAGTCAGTGGAAAAGACACAGACTATTAAGACTCTAGTGAACATGTAAAAACCATTTTTAAAGTCAATACTTAATAAAATATTTTTCTACTTTTGAATTACTTTTGAAAAAATATTAAATATCTAACTTCCTACTCAGGGTCAAAATAAAAATAATCATAAATAGAATAAGTATTAAACACACCCAGATATTGAAACTGAACACAATTAACATTGCTCCAGAAATGCCAGAAAGATTTAATATTAGTGAATTGATGCTTATGCAATGTCTAGCTCATATTAAGCACTCAAAATATACTGAGTTTTCATTCATGTTATTTTTTCTTTTTTCTTTTTTTTTTTTTTGAGACAGAGTCTCACTGTGTTGTCTAGGCTGGAGTGCAGTGGCACAATCTCGGCTCACTGCAACCTCCAACTCCCAGGTTCAAGTGATTCTCCTGCCTCATCCTCCTGAGTAGCTGGGATTATAGGCACATGCCACACACCCAGCTAATTTGTATTTTTTAGTAGAGACAGGGTTTCGCCATGTTGGCCAGGCTGGTTTTGAACTACTGACCTCTAATGATCTGCCCGCCTCAGCCTCCCTAAGTGCTGGGATTACAGGCCTGAGCCACCGCACCTGGACCATGTTATCTTCATTTCTGAATATACTATATCATGTAAATATATCAAAAGAGAAAATTTAGAGGATTATCTCAGTAAATACTAAGAATAATCTTCAGAGAACCCCACAATACTTTGTAAAAGCTTTCAGGTAATTTTTAAACACTATGTTACAACTGTTTTAAATCAGTCATAAACATGATAATATCAAAACATGAGGCATTTCTTTTAAAACCAGGATAAGACAAGAATGCCAGCCAACACCACCATTATTTAACCATGGCCTGACAGATGTATCAGCAAAATTTAAATGGGGAAAATAGTTCTGTTTAAAAGAAGGAGATATATTTATCTTAAAGCGTTACAATGTGGAAGTTTAATAAGATATTTCACTAAAATATGCAAAAATTACTTTTTATATTCTGGATATTTTGAAGGAATAGCCACAAAAACAGTTAAAGCATAAATGTGTACACATTAATTTAATTGCAAACATTTAAGACTTCTATGAAGATTTATGCTAAGCATTGAAAATTTTAGGTAAATTTGGGGAAAATTGTGATTTATACTTGTTCTGGTAGAATGTTCAAATAGTATAACCTGTCAATTGCCTCAAAATTCCATTTTTTAATAGATATATTAAAATGTTTTTATTTTATACATATTCATTTATTTATTTATTTGAGATGGAGTCTTGCTCTGTCACCCAGGCTGCAGTGCAGTGGTATAATCTCAGCTAACTGCAACCTCTGCTTCCTGGGTTCAAGCAATTCTCCTGTCTCAGCCTCCCAAGTAACTGGGACTACAGGCATGCACTCCCACGCCCGGCTAATTTTTGTATTTTTAGTAGAGACGGGGTTTTGCCACATTGGCCAGGCTGGTCTTGAACTCCTGACCTCAAGAGTTCCACCTGCCTCAGCCTCCCAAAGTGCTGGGATTACAGGTATGAGCCACCGCGCCCGGCCTTTTATATCTTTTTTAAATTATTACATATAAATTTGTTAAACTTATCAAGATAAATCCCCATGAATTTGTGAGATATTTTCCAATCAGTATTCATAAGGAGAGTCTTACATTATATACATTTGAAAAATATAAATACAGTTACAATTTATAAAGTAATAAATCACTGACAAAGTATAGAAGCATGTTGGGAGTATTCACCTGAACAGATTTTGAGGGATGCACACATACCTACAGGTATGAGTGTGTATGTAGACAATGTCACTTAACTTTTAAAAAATATGAATAACATAACTGTTACACATAACACACAAAAATTAATTCTTAATTATATGTATTGAATTTAAAAAGAAAGACTGAAATATACAGTTGTTAGGGTGTCAGCAGAAAAGAAATGCATCCACAGCTTAGGACAATTTGATGATATTTTAACAGAAGTACATTTTTACAAAGATTTGGGATAAGCATACAGACATTCTAAGGGTTAACAATGTATCATTGGAACTAATAAGTGACAAGAGGATACAGAAATTACAGATACCCTGTGAAGTTCAGAGGGTGAATGGTCCACAATAGTACCATCACCCATCACTTCTGGTACATACTGCAAGGTTAAAGGGTTCCCAAACCAACCTTAGGTTTGAACATTCGTTCATAAGATTCACAGATTCACTACAAATTGTCATACTCACAGTTGATCATTTATTACCGCTAAATAATACAATTAAAATTAGCCAATTTATTGCTGAATGAAGCAAAATACGGCAAGAAACAACTCAAAGATTTATCATTCTACCTTTTCCCAAACCACATGTTTCAGTGACTCAGGAATTTTCTATTGAGTCACACTTTGGATGCCAACTGCACAAGTAGCTAACTGAAAATTAGAGAACAGTTCACAAGACCAGCCTCACTTTTAACAGCAATTACAAGTTTAGAGGTTCCCAAAACCCACCCTCAGTTTCAATAACATTCTAGAAGCTGTTATATTAACATTTATGCTTGGAAAAAAATACAATTCAAAAACTGAAAGTATGCAAATTAAAATCAATCATGAGAAAGAAATGTATTGGGCCCAGTATAAGAGAATGCTAAACAGGATCTTTCAGTTGTCCTTTCCCCATGGAGACAAGAGCAGCATTAATTCCTCCTGGAAATGGCATATGATAATATGCAAGGGGTATTGCCAACTATGGAAGCTCATCCAAGTTTTGGTGTCCAGTGACTTCACTGGGGCTCCATTATATATGCGTGACTGACTGCCCACATGGCTGATCTCAATTTCCAGCCCTTGAGGAATTTGATCTGACACTGCATTTGTATTACTCTGTTCTTACACTGCTAATAAAGACATACCCAAGACTGAGTAATTTATGAAGGAAAGAGGTTTAATTGACTCACAGTCCAGCATGGCTGGATAGGCCTCAGGAAACTTACAATCATGATGGAGGGGGAAGAAAACTTGTCCTTCTTCACATGGCAGCACCAAGGAGAAGTGCTGAGCAAAGGGGGAAAAGCCCCTGATAAAACCAACAAATCGGCCGGGTACAGTGGCTCACGCCTGTAATCCCAGCACTTCGGGAGGCCAAGGCGGGTGGATTGTGAGGTCAAGAGATCAAGATCATCCTGGCCAACATGGTGAAACCCCATCTCTACTAAAAATACAAAAATTAGCTGGGCGTGGTGACGTGCACCTGAAGTCCCAGATACTCGCGAGGCTGAGGCAGGAGAATCACTTGCACCCAGGAGGCAGAGGTTGCAGTGAGCTGAGATCACACCTCTGCACTCCAGCTTGGTGACAGAGTGAGACTCCGTCTGAAAACAACAACAACAACAACAAATCTTATGAAAATGTATTCATTATCATGAGAACAGCATGAGGGTAACCATCCCATGATTGAATTAACTCCCATCAGGTCCCTCCCATGACGTGGAAATAATGGGAACTACAATTCAAGATGAGATTTGAGTGGGGACACAGCCAAATCATATTATTCTGTCCCTGGCCCCTTCTGAGACTCATGTCCTCACATTTCAAAACACAGTCGTGCTCTTCCAACACTCTCCCAACATCTTAACTTATTCCGGCATTAATTTAAAAGTCCAAGTCCAAAGTATCGTCTGAGACAATGCAAGTCCCTTCCACCTATGAGCCTGTAAAATCCAAAGCAAGTTAGTTACTTCCAAGATATAATGGGGGTACAGGCAGTGGGTAAATATACCCATTCTAAATGGGGAAATTGGTGAAAACAAAGGGGCTACAGGCTCCATGAATGTCCGGAATCCAATAGGGCAGTCACTAAATCTTAAAGTTCCCAAATGATTTCCTTTGACTCTGTCTCACATCCAGGGCATGCTGACACAAGAGTTGGGCTCCAATGGCTGTGGGCAGCTCTGCTCTTGTGGCTTTGCAGAGTAAAGTCAACCTCCTGGCTGTTTTCACAAGCTGGCATTGAGTGCCTATGGCTTTTTCAGGCTCATGGTCAAGCTATCAGTGGATCTGCCATTCTCAGGTCTGGAGGTCCATGGCCCTCTTCTCAGAGCTCCACTAGGCAGTGCCCCAGTGGGGAGTCTATGTAGGGGCTCTGACCCCACATTTCCCTTCTGCACTGTCCTAGCAGAGGTTCTCCATGAGGGTTCCGCCCCTGCAGCGACTTGTGCCTGGAGATCCAGGCATTTCCATACAACCTCTGAAATCAAGGTGGAGATTCCCAAACCTCAATTCGTGATTTCTGTGCACCTGCAGGTGCAAAACCACACAGAAGCTGCCAAAGATTGGGGCTTGCACCCTCTGAAGCAAAGGCTTGAGCTGTACATTGGCCCCTTTTAGCCATAGCTAGAGTGGCTAGGACACAGAGCACCAAGGTCCGAAGCCGCACATAGCAGGGAGGCCCTGGATCTGGCCCAGGCAAACATTTTTTCCTTCAAGGCCTCCTGGCCTGTGATGGAAGGGCCTGCTCTCATGCCCTCTGATATGCCCTAGAGACATCTTCCCCACTGTCTTGGTGATTAACACTTGGCTCCTCACTACTTATGCAAATTTCTGCAACTGGCTTTAATTTCTCCCTAGAAATAATGGGGTTTGCTTTTCTATCACATCACCAGGCTGCAAATTTTCCATACTTTTATGCCCTGCTTCCTGTTGAATGCTTTGCCACTTATACATTTCTTCCACCAGATACCCTAAATCATCTCTCTCAAGTTCAAAGTTCCACAGATCTCTAGGGCAGGGGCAAAATGCTGCCAGCCTCTTTGCATAGCAAGAGTGACCTTTACTCCAGTTCTCAACAAGTTCTTCATCTCCATCTGAGACCACCTCAGCCTGGACTTCATTTTCCATTTCACTATCAACATTTTGGTCAAAGCCATTCAACGAATCTCTAGGAAGTTACAAACATTCCTACATCTTCTTGTCTTCTGAGCCCTCCAAGCCTCTAGGAAGTTCCAAACTTTCCCACATTTTCCTGTCTTCTTCTGAGCCCTCCAAACTGTTCCAACCTCTGCCTCTTACCCAGTTCCAATGTCATGTCCATATTTTTTTATATCCTTATGGCAGCACCCCACTCTACTGGTACCAATTTACTGTATTAGTCCATTGTTACACTGCTAATAAAGACATACCCAAGACTGGGTAATTTATAAAGGAAAGAGGTTTAGTTGACTTGCAGTTCAGCACAGCTGGGGAAAACTCACAGTTCAGCATGGCTGGGGAAAAGCCTCAGGAAACTTACAACCATGGTGAAAGGGGAAGCAAACATGTCCTTCCTCACATGGTGGCAGCAACGAGAAGTGCCAAGCAAAAATGAGAAAGGCCTCTTATAAAACCATCTGAACTTGTGAGAATGTACTTACTATCTCGAGAACAGCATGAGGATAACCATCCCCATAATTAAATTACCTCTCAGCAGGTCTCTCCCACAACACTCGGGGATTATGGGAACTGCAATTTAAGATGAGATTTGGAGCCAGGTGCGGTGGCTCACACCTGTAATCCCAGCACTTTGGGAGGCTGAGTCGAGTGGATCACAAGGTCAGGAGTTCAAGACCAGCCTGACCACTATGGTGAAACCCTGTCTCTACTAAAACTACAAAAATTAGGCGGGTGCGATGGCAAGTGCCTGTAGTCCCAGCTACTCGGGAGGCTGAGAAGAATCGCTTGAAGCCAGGAGGCAGAGGATGCAGTGGGCTGAGATCGTGCCATTGCACTCCAGCCTGGGCGACAGAGTGAGACTCTGTCTCAAAATAATAATAATAATGAGATTTGGGTGGGGACACAGCCAAACCATATCAACATTACCCAAATCTCTCTCCTAAATCACATTTTACTATCTGGCTGGCCTAAGGACTCCAGGCAAACAAAGACATTCCTATCAGGCAGGGCATGCCGAGGGTTTAGGGAAGACTGCCTAGAAATCAAGAGCAAAGGTCAGACTTCTTTAGGGGCAAGGTTGGCTTTCTTTTTTTCTACACAGATCTCCAAGAAAGAAAATCTTTTAGAGACAGCTGCCATCAGAGGAGCAGTTACTTTAAGTTGAGAGAATAATAGATCACCCTGCAGAAAAGGAAACAAGGAAATACTCTAAGCTCGCTTCTCTCTCTCATTTTGTTTGGTTGAACTCACAAGGAATCAGTAAGGGAAGGTATCTGTATAATCTGCATGTGTCAGTTTCCTGGGGAAGACAGCATAGTGGTGCAGATTCAGAGTGGCAAAGCAAGATATCCATCACATGATACTTATCATGATCTTCCCAGGTGACCTCAGGTTCCCTTATGACAGCAAGAAGCAGAGAGGGCCATTAAATCAATACCTTTTACAACTACTGATAACCTTAGAAAATTTATCAAAGCCCTCATTCCACAGCTATAAATTTTATGCTGTCCCATTCTTAGGATCTCCTTCCATGTAATAATGTCATTCCATAGGTCAAGTCATCTATGAAAGACCTTTTCCTTTTCTATATTACCTAATATCCCATCAGGTTGAAAGAAAAATATATTCAGGACTCAAGAATTTCCAAATCACACAGTCTCAGTGCAATATCTTTTATGTCACTATAAAATTCAAATCTTTATTTTCTCACTCTTTTATCTACTGCACAAATACTTTCCAATTTCCACTATCGATCTTTCTCCCAGGTGGAACTAGTAAGACATGTATCTCTCCTCATCTAATTAAATTTAAAAGGGTATCATTTGTGATAAAATGCATTAATGGTCCCAGTTATTTTTATATCCCCCATCCATTCATTTTGTGATTTGCAGTAAGACAAGTAAAATATATTTCCTTATCCATCATTTGCATTGACCAGTGGAATGTTAGAATGATATGACCAAGTAGTTTAAAAATACATGCATAACTGAACTTTTTCTCTGTGTCTTCTGGCATTAGCATGAGAAAACATGCCCTGGCTAGCATACCATTCCCAGGAGGAGGAAAAGAGATATACATAGCAGATCCAAACTAAGACCAGTCTATATCATCGACCCCAATATGTCCCTTAGAAGCATGAGTGGCTTCAGGTTCAATTGGCAGAGCCTCCCAGATGAGCCCAGAGTCAATTTGCCCCAAATTGACCCACAAACGAGAGCTGCAAGAGTAGCTACTATGTAGTCAGTGTTTTAAGAATGGCATTAGAAGAATGAAAAGTAATCTATCATCTTGGCTCATCTTACTATTATGATCAAAAGAAGGTAAACAGTAACTTTTGTCTAATTATTTTCTGTATTTCTTCCAATGTCTCCCGCAATTCAGTGAACGAATATATTGTGTTTCCATCGAGTAAACTGAATGCAGGTCTCCCTCAAATACATTTTAGATTTCTCAGCTGATCTGTTATGCTCCATGGGAGGGAAACATAAATTTAAAAAAGTAACTATAAGAAAACATATGTTCATAATTAACAATTATAGTAAGGAAGAATATTTCTAAGTATTATATTGAAAGCATAAATCATTTGAAAAGATTTGGTAAAGTAAGTACTTTAAATATTAGTATATAAAAGATACAAAATGTGAATGTAAAATAAATGCAAAAGGGTTATAAACTATAGTAGATTAAAGTCTGTATTCTTAATATAGAGAGAGAACTTTAAAAAATCATATAGATCAGCCGGGCACGGTGGTTCACGCCTGTAATCCCAGCACTTTGGGAGGCTGAGGCAGGTGGATCACAAGGTCAGGAGATCAAGACCATCCTGGCTAACATGGTGAAACTCCGTCTCTACTAAAAATACAAAAAAATTAGCTGGGCGTGGTAGTACGTGCTTGTAGTCCCAGCTACTCGGGAAGCTGAGGCAGGAGAATCACTTGAATCTTGGAGGCTGAGG